>NC_000006.12:15211515-15363030 GCF_000001405.40 Homo sapiens | reverse complement strand
TACTGATAACTACTAAATCATCTTCTTGACAATCTCCTCCCTCCCCACCACAACCCTCTCCACACCACCTTCCTGGCTACTCTGGTCTAGAAACCGAAACTGGACTTGGCACTTTTTTTCTCATTGTTGACATTTGCTTTCAAAATCCAGGTAATCCTGTCTGTCTCTCAATTCCTTGGATACCTATTTAAACCAGAAATCTCATCTCTTTCCAAAGACAAGAAATCTCCTAAAATGTCTCTACCACCAACTAATCCCAATTCCAACCATCTACCCCACGTTCTTTCTCTACAAACACAGCCACGCTGCAATTTGACACCATCCATGTCACCACTTCCCCTACTGAAGCCTTTCCATGGCTCCCCAGAATCTCAGAAGAAAACTCCAAATTTCCTTGCAGAGCCCATAAAGACCTATCATCAGCCTAACTTCCCTTACAGGCTTTAATTTCTACACAACTACCAACACCCCTAATTGATAAGGTATGAGCATCTCATAGGGGCAAAAGCTCTCATCGTCAGACCCCGTGTCCAAACAAATGCCAGTGTTTACTAACTGCATACTGATCATGACTTCAACAGTAATGCTACGGTAAATAGAGTTGCCTTTCTCAAGAGACAAGAATAAAAAGTCCATTCTCAATTCTTTTTCATACCAATGTGTTGGCACCTAGAAATAAACAAGTAGTCTTAATTTACCAGCTATGTCTGTTTCACTTACTGACCTAAGGCTGGCTGTTCGTTCTGTATTGCAAAGAATGCATGATCCTATGTAACCCTGAGAGAAGACCTCAATAACACTTAAACTGATATATTTTCGACAAATTAAATGACTCCTCTTCCAGGCCTGGTGGGGCAGCTCATGTCTGTAATTCCAGCACTTTGGGAGGCGGGGGGGGCGCAGATCACCTGAGGTCAAGAGTTCAAGACCAGCCTGACCAACATGGCGGAACCCACTAAAAATACAAAAACTAGTGGGGCATGCTGGTACATGTGTAGTCCCACCTACTCTGGAGGCTAAGACATGAGAATCACTTGAACCCAGAAGGCAGAGTTTGCAGTGAGCTGAGATCACACCACTGCACTCCAGCCTGGGAGATCAAGACTCCATCTCAGGGAAAAAAAAAAAAAAAAAAAAAGGGGGCTCCCAATCCAAAGACAAGATTTAACTCTACCTCTAACAATACTTTACAACAATCACCATTGTTTCAGCTACCTAAACAAAACTGAACCTCTTCTTTGGTCCGTGCATCCCAGCCAGTTCCAACATTTCTTCCTTTATGCAGAATGAGGTTTCTTGCAGTTGTTTAGCTCTATGACGCTGGAATAATGTGGCAGTTGGGGGTTTAATGAAGAAATTCACACTTACCCAAAGCCATGAGGACTGACCCCACCCTCCCGCCAAAAAAAAAGGTGGTATGGCATACATACAACTTCATTTTAAGTTAAAGCTGCTAGGGAAAGCAAATATGGCTATCAAGAAGCAAAGTTACGATTCTTCCTATCCTTACAGTTTGCAATCATACAAGAAACAAAAGGTGTGTTATAAGCAAAGTGGATGTATGTAGAAATTTACCATTTACACTTCGGTGATGTGTGTGAAAGGACAGAGGAGGAAGTGGGGGAGATAAGAAATTTGCTCTAAATGGGAAACCACTGGAGACTTCGGAGCAAAGAAGTAGCAGACTTTGAGCACTGACTGCAGTGTTGAGGGTAAATCATGGGGGACAGTGGTGTGGAAAAACAAGGGAGGCTGAGGCAGTTACCTGTACAAGAGATGAGGACCAGGGTGGTGCCAAAGACTGACAACTGGTTAAATTCTGGAACATTTACAACACTGGGCCAAGAGAAGGCTGACAGACTAGATGTGGCGTGTGTGAAAAAAGGGAGTCGAATACATCCAAAGGTTTTCAACTCAGTAAATGGAGTCACCTCCACTGAATTTTTCAATGTGCTGTTACCTGTTACAGACCTTAGAGAAAATACCAAAGTTCAGTCCAGAGACATGAATGTAGTTGGGTGGTTTTAATCGAAACTCAGAATATAAATTTAGGTGCCCTAATTTACTGAAGAGCAAAATAACAAAAAATAAACAAAAGCCTTTATGTATTGATTTAAAAGTCAGGAGTGAAGTCAAGTCAAGGTTGGCGGACCTTGCTGTGCCTTTTTTTGGCTAACAAGGTTTTCAGAGCCTTTGGGAAAACAATGCTTTAAAAAAGAAAGACTAGGTTGGGCGCAGTGGCTCATGTCTGTAATTCTCACACACTGGGAGGCTAAGGTAGGAGGATTGCTTGAGCCCAGGAGTCCAAGACAGCCCTGGCCAATATAGCAAGAGACCCTCATCTCTACAACAACAAAAATTTAAAATTAGTTAAAAACTTAAAATTAGGCATGACGGCACACTCCTGTGGTCCAAGCTACTCAAGAGGCTGAGGTGAGAAGATCGCTTGAACACAGGCATTCTGAGGTTACAGTGAGCTATGATTGAGCCACTATACTCCAGTTTGGGCAACTGAGTGTGACCCTGTCTCATAAAAATAAGATAAATAGGCCGGGCACAGTGGCTCACTCCTGTAATCCCAGGACTTTCGGAGGCCGAGGCGGGCAGATCACGAGGTCAGGAGTTGAAGACCAGCCAGGCCAACACGGTGAAACTCCGTCTCTACAAAAAATACAAAAATTAGCTGGGCATGGTGGCACATGCCTGTAATTCCAGCTATTTGGGAGGCTGAGGCAAGAAAACTGCTTGAACCAGGACCCAGGAGGCATTGCCGTGAACTGAGATCATGCCACTGCACTTCAGCCTGGGCTACACAGTGAGACTCAGTCTCAAAAAAAATTAATTAATTAAATATTATAAAGGAATAAAATAGAAATAAATAAAATATAAAGAATGACTAACACAGAAGAGTCTTGGATAGAAAGAGAAATTACTCAAGAGCCATTCTCTGAAAATCTACATTTGACATCACAAGCCCTAACTCATAAGAGATGAGGTTTTGGTTTTGCTAATGTAACAGTGGAGGACTTAGAAATTCATCAGTCGGCCAGACGTGGTGGCTCACGCCTGTAATCCCAAAACTTTGGAAGGCCGAGGAAGATAGATCACCTGAGGTCAGGGGTTCAAGACCAACCTGACCAGGACAGTGAAATGCCATCTCTACTAAGAACACAAAAATTAGCAAGGCATGGTGGCGGGTGCCTGTGGTCCCAGCTACTCAGGACGCCGAGACAGGAGAATTGCTCGAACCCAGGAGGCAGAGATTGTGCCACTGCAATCCAGCCTGGGAGACTCCATCTCAAATAAAAAAAAAAAAGGAAAAAGAAATCCATCTGTCACTGCTGGTGGGGAAATTCTAATACCCGCTGAGGTTATAATCAACCCTACCCACCTCTCTCTAACACACACCCCCCACCGCTACCCACAGATAGCCTTATTTATACTTAGGCTTTCAATGCAAATAAGAAAAATGAGGGGCCGAGTGAGTGAAGTGACACTGCCTAGGGCCTGCCCACGCGGGTAGCTAAAAATATAGTCATGAGATACTCTCTGAGCAACACCAAGACTATTCAGGTTTCAGGCGGCCGCAAATCAAAAATATGTGTGTGGCAGTGAAATGAACTTTCTCTCCAGTCAATGAATCCAGGAAGAATCCAGAAGAGCAACCTCTGGATGCCACATCAGGGGCAGGACATACCGTCAGAAAAGCTGTTGGGACAGTAAAGTATACAGCAGCGCAACATCCAAAGGAGTAAACCCTACGACTTGCAGGGAGACTGCAGAAAATCATTCCCACTCAGAAAAGTTTTTATTTACCAACCTGCGAGTCACACCATGCTGCTATACCTACACACTGTGGTTTGAATTTCTTCTTCCATAATCCTTGAGCTCCTGAAGCAAAGATTCTCCCTAAAACATTCTTCACTGCATTTCCTAGAAAGCTACATTCCTACCTTTCTAACAAGTCTTCTTATCACCACTGCTGGTGGTTTGTGTTCAAGCTTCTGCAGCACTCACTGGGAGCACTCTCCTAGAATACTAGTGGTCAGGCATGGCCGCCCTGGAAACCACTTAATGACTTCCTCACCCTCACATTGACTTAACTGGTTGGGGTATGGCCTGTGCCAGAGATCTTATAAACTCAGAATGGCTGCTCTAGAATTCAGTCCCGCCATCTCCCAAATCAGCCTCCTGGCATGAAAAAATCTATATTCTGACAACTCCTTAACATCAAGACTGGTACGCGTTAAAAGCTTAGTAACTAACTGTAGAGAGAAAGAAGGGAAACCTTTGTAACTAAGGAAACCAGGTAACTGTTTAAACAGAGCACACGGAATGGCTTGATACATGTTTTTCTTGACAGTAATTCTCTGAAAATGAGAATTCACTATTCTCAGAAAAAGCAAAAAGGTTACAGTGGACACAAGTTTTCATTCACTGAAACATAAAACGAGCACCTACTGGCTTCAAGAAACAGAATCAATCTGCTATCATCCATTCAAAGCTTCGGTTGCCCCAACTCAATGATGAAAATCTCATTAACCCTGAATCTCTGAGTCAGAGGTAATTCAGTCCTAATCCACCAACAACACAAAAACAGTGTGTTAGTACCAGTATCGGGAAACTCTGTTGTGATTCTTCATTTATTTAATAATAGCAGAAAGGAGATATTGGAAAAACCAGACCATCTTTGATTCAATATATCTCATCACCAGAAACTAATCACTAATTAAAGTCAATATATGAAGATGAGAAAGTTTTTCTTCCTACTAACATTAAAGTTGATGATAGAAACGCTTATAAGCAGAAATAGTAAACAGGTTATATTACACAAACAAAAAATTTTTTAAAGCTAGTTGGGGTTTGACAAACTTCTTAGAACACCTTACAAAAGCCCTGACCTCAAAGAAAACACTTTCCAATTTTAACATACATGCCCACACAAAGAAACACAGCAGACACGCCCCAGAGGCCAAAATAAAATGCTCTCTAGTAATTACCGTAAATAGAAAAAGGAGATGGGCTTCCTGAGTCAGAATGCAGAGCACAATAAAAACCACCAGCACAAAAACATCATAAACAAAATTACATGGACAACAGTAAACTCAGAAGACGGTGGAATTGCTTGTCAGTGTGATACAAAGAAACACATCTGGAAGATGTTTAAACAAGAGAAGGGGGTGTCCGTGGGTCTGCAGAGGGCTGCTGCAAGGATATACAGCATGCCAGTGTCGTCCTAAAAGACACAACATAGCATCCGGAAACAGCTCACTTTCTGCAGGAGAAACAGAAGAGTTTCTTTAAAATCCCACCATCTACAGTTTAAAGATTTGAGAAAAGATTTCTTATTTTTCTATATTTTGATTATCTCCCCTAAATTTGATACAGAATTTCTCGACCAAGGGTCTTTCAACTTGGCGAATTAAAAAAAAAATCAATAAATAACATTTGCTTAGAGAGACTTTTCCCTTTTACAAACAGCTTCAGTCTCCAAATACCTCTTAAATGAACATGTAAGACAGTTGTCCATCTAGACCCACACTAGACCCATTTTGAGTATCAGTTTGAAGTTATAATTTATGTTCACTGACATGTAATGTTTAAATCACATCCATAATGAACCTGTGATTAAAGACTAAGAATGAATTCAGAGCATAAAAATAAGGGCACATTTGCCTCAGAAACCAAGCCCGTGTAAATTGTACTGTATTTTATTTGATCCAAAGTTGCACTGTTGTAAAAATTGTTAACTTCATTACTGCAAAATCCCATGTGATGTATGCTTATGGCTGCACTTATTCAGCGTACTTCATGAAGACTTTACATACTCAATGAAAAAACGCATGACTTTCCTAGGCCATGAAGGACATCTGGCTGCAGCAGCCCCTAGTCTTGCCAGTAAGGCTTCGTTCCCTAGAGATGGTCTTTCACTCTGCACTGAGCAAAAGGTACTTAGAACACATAGCCAAGTAACTGTGAAACGAACAAAGTTTTTTGTTGTTGTTTTTTGTTTGTTTTTGAGACAGTCTCAATCTGTTGTCCAGGCTGGAGTGCAGTGGTGCACTCTCAGCTCACTGCAACCTCTGCCTCCCGGGCTCAAGTGATACTCCTGACTCAGCCTCCTAAGTAGCTGGGACTACAGGCACGTGCCACCAAGACCAGGTAATGTTGTATTTTTAATAGAGATGGGGTTTCACCATGTTGGCCAGGCTGGTCTTGAACTCCTGACCTCAAGTGATCCGCCTGCCTCGGCCTCCCAGAACACTGGGATTACAGGCATAAGCCACTGCGCCCAGCCCAAAAACAAACTTTTTAACATAAATAACAAGAATCCAAAATATGAGATAATGAAAACAACTCAGTCGCTTGTCTCTACTTTGTTCCTGTATTTACATTAGGAAAATGTGCACATTAATAAAACTATAATACATTTCTTCCCACTTCAAGCTTATATTTATGAATTTGCCTAAAAAAAAAATGCTCTCCCTTACATATGAAACACAATGTACTACGTGACAAATAGGAAGTTAAAATATATGTACTTGTTAAAGATTCCATAGACGTGAACTTAAGACAAATCCACTAGAATGACTATAATAAAAACAAAAAGAAAAACAGCAGACGTTGGTGAAGATGAAGAAACGGGAAACCTCATACAGCAATTGTGGGAAAGCTACTTAGGCCAAGTGTGGGTTCCTCAAAAAGTTAAACATAGAATTATTCAATTCTATTCCTGGGCACTCATGTAAAACGTGAACACAAATGTTCACAGCAGCATTATACATAATATCCAAAAAGTATAAACAACCCAACTGTCCATCAAATGATGAATAAATGAACGAAATATGGCATATACTTACAATAGGATATTCAGCCGTAAAAAAGATTTCATGGGGCAGCGTGGATGAACCTTGAAAACATAGCTAGGGAAACAGGGAGGCAGAGAGGCCACATATTGCAGGATTCCATTGCTACGAAGTCTCCAGAATAGGCCAACCCACAAAGACAGAAAATACATTGCTGGCTGCCAGAGGTTGCTGGGAAAGGAGGGGGGACTACTGCTAATGGATATCGGGTTTCTCTTTGAGAGTGATGAAAAAGTTCCAGAAATGTACTAAGTGGCCGGGCACACTGGCTCACGCCTGTAATCCCAGCACTTGGGGAAGTCAAGGTGGGCAGATCACATGAAGTCAGGAGTTTGAGACCAGCCTGGCCAACATGGCAAAACCCGTCTCTACTAAAAATACAGAAATTAGCCAGGCGTGGTGGCACGCACCTGTGGTCCCACCTCCTCTGGAGACCGAGGCACGAGAATCGTTTCAGCCTAGGAGGCAGAGGTTGCAGTGAGCCGGGATCACAGCACTGCACTTCAGCCTGGGTGACCTAGTGAGACACTGTCTCAAAAAAAAAAAAGCAAGAGGAAGGAAGGAAGGAATGCACTAAGGACTAAAAGTCTATGAACTGTACTCTTTACAATGGTTACAACAGTGAATCTTATGTGATTTTTTACATAAGCAAAAATAAATCAACTAACCTAAAATCAAATTGTACTTAAAATTACTTTTGAAATACTGTGTGTGAATAATTATTAGTATTATTAGTATTTTATCCCCATATGAAAGTTCTAGAATGTATTAACATTAGATATAAAATCACCTAATAGGCAAAACAAAATCATAATCACTTTGAGTAAAAATTTTAAGATTTCTGCATATATTGCAGCCTTAGTGATCCAAAATATCAGCTTGCATTTTTTGATGTTATCAAGTTCATTGACAATTTCTAACAAAGTATCACTTAAATTAAATTAAATTAAAAAGTAGCTTATCAATACAAAGTACAGGCAGATAATTCCTTTATAACTTATACTAACTACTTTTGAGACCTCACACAGGGCAGAATGGGAATGTGTAAGGTTTTCTCTCCTCCTACCCTTTGCATGACATCCAGTCAGTGACCAAATCCACACAATGGGAGGGAGGGTTCATATAGTGCTCTCAATGAACATTCTTCTGGACTTTCAATTATTTCTTTCTTGAACTCTTATCATGGTCAGCAATCCGCAGCCTAATCAAGTTTTTTGTGCTTGCTCCCCACCTGAAATTCACCTCCCCGGCTTTTCTAATATTCAGTTCTCAAATATCACCTTCTTCAAAGCCTTCTCTGACCAACCTATACCCCAGTCTAAGGAACTCCTTTAACATTCTTTACAGCATTTATCAACCACACAATTCTTGCTTGTAGGGGTAGGTATTCTATGGTTTCCAAACTACATTACCAGCTGAATTTCACCAGTCATGTGGCCTAACCCAGCTAAGTAGCATTCGATATACTGTACACTTTTACAGTCCGGTGGTCTGGGTTCAAATCCCAGCTGTTTACTGGCTCTATGATCTTGGGGAATGTTAAGTACATGCTCATTTCCTTATCTGTGCTTGAATGTCTGCTGTGTATATAATACACTGAAAGTTTTTAGAAGTGTGCCTGACACTGAGTGTTACTTAAGCAGTAACATCAAATGTCTAACCCCTGTGTTAACAAAGGACAAAGAAAGCATTAAAGTATGCAGTAATTTCCTGTTGCTGCTGTTAACAAATTATCACATTTCTGTCTTAAAACACAAATTTTCTTACAGTTCTGGAAGTAAGTAGTCCAAAATCAGTTTCACTGTGCTGGTGGTGTTAGCAAGGCTGGATTTTTCTGCAAGCTCTGAGAGAATCCAATACCGTGCCCTTTTCAGCTTCTAACGGCTGCTAATATGCCATGGCTTGTGGCCCCCTTATCCATCCTCAAACTGCATCACTCCCACCTTCGGTCCTGTCTTCTCGTCTCATTTTTTGCTCTGACAGTGAGCCACCTACCTCTGTTTAATAAGGACGCTTGTGATTACATTGGGCTCACCTGGATACTCTTCTCGTCTGATGATCCTTGATCAATCCCAGCTGCAAAATCCCTTTTACTTAGATACACCTGTGAACAAGACTGAACTTGCTGCCATTGAAATACACCTCATGCTGAACTCTGAAAAGGCTATACAGGGATGTGCTGGCACAGAGGGGACTGTTATCTTAAACTGTACGCTTTAGGAACATAAGTGGCAGATTTTTTTCCCCATTTGTTTTTATTTTACTGTACATAAAAGATCAGTTCCTTGAATTTCCTACTGACGAAGTATGAACACCTGAGTGGGTCAAAAATAACTGGTGGCTCCAACTCATGCAAAACTACCATCTCTGTTACGTTTCCCTAGAAAGAGAAAAGTAATTGTTTTGATTGAAAAGAATTTTTTTTTTTGCATTGAAATCCTGAAGAGGTAGAAGGAGTAGAGTATTGGTTGAAGGGGTTTACAATTGTTCTGAGTTCTCAATAAAGAGAAACATGGAATTCCCACCAGGAAAAGGATCATTCTAATGTGACAGGCTCCTAACTTCTGAGCCAGCAGCTTATTACTAGAACACTTAATTCACCACGATCAATTGGCATTCGATTTTGGAATAAAATTTTGCTGTTGTTGTTCAGAAAGAGACCTTCCTCGATAATGATATTTTTTCCTAAATAACATAAGCATTCTTGTCTCCAAACTGCTCTTTTTAAAACCACCATTTAAGTAGAAATTTAAGTAAGATATGAATGAATCAAAGCTCTCTCAGAATAGGTACAACGATATGAATTAAGCTCAAGATTTCTACTGTAATGTATATAAGTGAACAATAAACACATGAAAACATGCTCAATATCATTAGTGGGTAAATGCAAATTAAAACAGCAATGCGATACCACTTCACACCTACTACAATAACTATTTTTCTAAAAAGACAGGCAACAAGTATTGGAAAGGATGCAGAGAAACTGGAACCTCAAACAGCAGTGGGAGTGTAAAATGATACGGTGGCTCTGAAAAATACTCAAAAGGCTATTACTCAAAAGGTTAAACAGTTGCCATGTGACCCAGAAATTCAATTCTCTGGCATACACCCAAAAGTGAAAAACAGTCCACACCAAAACTTGCTTACAAATGTTCACAGCACCATTATTCATCATGACGATAACATGGAAACCACCCAGCCAAGTGTCCATCAACTCATGAATGCATAAAATGGGACATATCCATGCAACAGAGTATTGTTCACCAATAAAAGCAAAAGATGTATTGATGTCTCAATAGCCCTTTGCAGCTGTAATAAGTAACCTCGTGGCGCTATGCTATGCGTATTTATTTACAAAACTTATTCCACTGTACACATTATTTACAGTGAATTTAGACTTACAGTCATGTCTGAGGGGGGAAAAGCAGAGGTTGCACCCTGCCTTTGAACTGTTCTGCCTGCTGGAAGCACACCATCATTGTCTGCTCCCTACATGACAGCCAAGTGAACTACTTAATAGACACTCAGACAACTTCATGTTTCCAGGACGTTAAGGGAGAGTAAGGTGGAAAGGACTGAAGCACAGGAAAAGGATCTGCAAGGAAACCCCAAGATGCAGAGCTTCATTTGTATCCCTGACTTAGACCTCCCAGGCCATGCTTGGAGCCTTCCCTTCACTATTCTGATTCCTGGATCATGTGGTCATGTGGTCCTCTGGGGACTTTTTACTTAGTAATCTACATCTGAGCTGGGGGAAGAATAGTCTTCCTCTCCAATGACAATGCACGTTATCAGGAAACAGCTTACAGACAGAGGACAATGTAACATTAATATTAAGAACGGGGTGGAGAGGCGGGGGGCTACATAGTTTCTTAACAAGAGAGCCTTCCTTGTTAAAATTATAGTCTTTCAGGAATCTCAGCTAAGCATGATGGCTCAGATTTTAGCAGCCTTTAATATTTTCTGTTATAATGAATAATATGTCAATAAATTTGGGTTCAAGAAACTAACAGGATTTCAGGAGGGCAACGGGGAAGATAAGCCTGCAATGAAGAGCTAGCTGTGTTCCTCCCTTACGTCGGACAGAAAAGAGGGAGAACTATTACTGAAAAAAATTAAAAAGGAAGAAATATCAACATCAATTTTAAATGCCTCACAGCCTCAGATTCGGCGCAGTGATTATCCTTTTTTAAAAGGATATGTACAGTAGTAACTGCTCTTTAATACCATCTCTCAAGCCAAGTCAACACTAGTTTGAAGAATCTCCTGGTATGTCATCAGCAGAGGGAAGCGGGGAGTGGAGAGCACTTGGAAGAACCAAGAGGGTGAGTGACTCAGGCCATTGCTCCCTGCCAAGGGAAGCAGCTACAGATGCCAAAACATCCCATTTTATAAGGCTGCACAAAAGTGTGTGCCTCTCTGGACCACACAGCAACTCATCAGAAGCCCAGGATAACTTCCCAGTTGAATCCATACATTGGTCACTTCCCCAAGAAGAGCAAATTAAATCCAGTGGTGAATAGGATTGGCTCCCAGAACACAGGTGCAAGTCGGTAGCCTTGTGTGATATAAATGCACCTACTCCTAGCATCAGACGCTACACATGCACCAACATTTGCCACCCCTCCATTTTACATGAGGAAAGTGGGACCCAGAAAGATCTGCTCATTTGAACCCCTCTGGAGCAGAGCAGGGATGAGACCCAGGCCTCCTGCTCCATGAGGCCAGTGTCTTTCCATGAGGACCCCAGCTAGAAGGAAGGTTTCCAGTTTTATTTAATCCAGCAATCCCTACCTGGTAGCTATTGGTGGGAACAAAAACAAGAGGTTGACCGGAATCCTCCCAGCTTTTCCCCTCACTCACTCATATTCACCTTTCAGCATCTCTTTACCTCAGAGAAGTTTTTACCAGACCCTATTAGAGCATTAGTTACTGTTGGTATTACTCAGAAATGCTTGGCTCACCTACTAATCTATAGGCTCCCTGGGGTGACCTCTATTTTCCTCATACCTGATGAGCACAGTAGGTCTTCAGCAACATCCTCTTCGTTAACCAAAAAGGCACCTTCAAATATGAAATTTGTATTTTATTACATACCACTCAAATTGAAAACATGACTGCTATTTAGTAACCCTTAATCCAAGATATCTGCTTTTTTTTTTTTTACTTTGAAATCTCTTTCAGTACAAGGATGTGGCAGTTTCTCCTGCCTCCAGCTACCCTGGAATAAGTAAGCAATCCTTGAGGACCTAACATAACTTTGAGGACCGTCTTCCTGTTACTAGGTTGCCAAAAATATTTGGGAGTTATTTTGCAATCAAAAGTGAAATTTTGGTCATTCCTCCCACACCAAATATTTCACTAAAATCAAATGTACAGCCTGCTGCCACTCAGTTTCTATGCCTTTGTTAATTCAAAAAAAAAAAAAAAAAAACCTTAAACTATGATTTGGCATTGAAATGAAATCCATGTGAATCTTGTTTAAATAGCAATTAAATGCAATCAGTGAAGGCCCAACGATGACTATAAGGAAGTGATGAGGTTATGAACAACCTGGACCAAATTCACTCATACTCAGGCTATGAGAACAAGGTGACTGATGCAAATGGGTTGTTTGTCATTTTAGGCATTTTAAAATGTGAATACCGAGCACATCTTGGAATCAGCTAAGTCAGTAACACCAAAGTTCTTCCCACTAGCTATAGAGTCTCCGTGTTACTAATGAAGACGAACACCTGATTAGATGCACGTTTTGATTAACATCTCCAGCTCAAGACACGGAGAAACTGAGTGAGCCAGGTGAGGTCTGCCTTCATCAGAAATCCTGCAAAACACAGCTTATTTCCTTCATTTCAGGTGCTTGGTCAACATGCAGCACAAAAATAACAGCATATTGGTTTCCCAGTCCCTTAGATCTTATTGATCATGATTCTGTGACTTCACCCTTAGACCTTTCTGATCATGATTCTGTGACGTTACTGATGTATGCCTCAGGTCACAGCCTCAAGCTTGATGGAAAGGGCTGTCTCCCCAAATTCCAGCCGCGTGTTAAAACAGATGCTGGGCTTGCAGAGTTCAACAAACAATACAGCAGACTTATCCAACATTAAGATCCAGGACATGGTGGGCCCAGCTACTTCCACTCAACCCATCTCTGTTAACTTTCCTCATCTAACCAATAATACGGGACCACAAGAACCGAGAATATCCAGATTTGACATCCTTAGCAAAAGACGCAGAATCATAGCCTGAGAATAAACTCTGTCATTGTATATACATTTCAACGGTGTCCGTCTCATCTCCAAAAAAGAGTACCTGCAAGGATTCAAGCTAGAAGAGATGATGTATTAAGCTGAAGGCCAGAATAAGGCATTGCTTGCGGGAAGGAGGTAGCATCCCCAGCCTTCATCTTTCCTTCTGTCTTTTGATAGAATGCAGCACTAGCGTAAGGGGTGGTGGGGGAGAGGAACTGGGAAGCTCGGTGTTTCTGCTCTGGTTTTTACTTCCCTTCATGGAATCCCTTCCTTTTTTCTTCAGCATTCCTGCAGGAGCTCCTCACGCGTGATGAGTCAAAAGCCATCAGTGATCTTTGGCCAAAACTACAATTATGGAGCTGCCAATGCCAAAATCCAGTCCCACTTCTAAAACAGTGCACTTTAATTTGTACTGTTCCTCCAGACTGAACAATCCTGGAAATAGAAGTGAGAATTTTCCAACCTGCAAATAATTCTTCTGAAAACGTCCAAGTCATTCTCACTGGCTACTCCAGTTAGGCCCACTTCACACACGTAACTAATTAGGGCACACAATGTTGTTGTGGTTGTGGATGGAGACACTAAAAACTTACCTGCCCACAAAATTCCATCCAGATGGAACATTTTTCTTTAGTATCTCCCACCTCCAACAAAAAGTCACCATCTTGGATTAGAAAATAAAACCTAATATAGCAATTAGGTCCTTCAAAACTAACCAGGACCTATCTACCACATCACCCCTAAATGAGCTATGACTTCATAGATGGGATCCACATTTTTCTTTTAATATTGAAAAGCAGACCAACATAAGCTGCAAGGTCAAGAGGGAAACTCATGTTGCAATATGGTTTCAGGAATCTCAGTGAAAACATTTTTCCCTTCCTAATACACACACAGTTAATGTGAAAACCCTTTTCAACATTGTCCATGGAGTTCTTTCATGGTCTTAATTAACAAGTCTTAAACTTCCATCCTATTGCTTCAGATGGTATGCTACTGAAGTAAGTATTTCTTTTCCAATTAATTGGCTTAATTCATCCGCCTCCACCTCTCCATTCACAAAGAGGTAGAAAATAGCAACCACTAAACCTAAACAGCAAAGCCTACTCTGGTTAGAGCTCCCCACGCTAGTTCTCCTGTTGCAGCTGCTTCTCATCTAGCTGGGAGCTGGGTCTGCAAAAGCTTGACTGTGGGCTTTTTACCTGTATGGTTTCAGCGAAGAATAAAGAACAATGTTTGACATTTTTATACTCGAGAAGAAAGCAAGAGCAATTCTCTCTACCTTTTCAAGTATAACTGAAGAGAAGAGGAAAAGAAAACCCACAAGTTAACTTCTAGAAAAAAAAATTTAATTAAGTTCAAACTTTAAAGCATTTCTATGAGCTTATGAAGACTCTGAACCAGTCCCAGCCCATGGAAGTTTATAAAATATAATTTAAAAAATACTGAGAACCCCTCCACACAAAGATTATCTACTGCAAAGAATATTCATAGAAAAAAATAGAATTAAAAGAAATAATTGGCCAGGTGCCGTGGCTCACGCCTGTAATCCCAACACTTTGGGAGGCTGAGGCAGACTGATCACGAGGTCAGGAGTTCCAGACCGGACTGGCCAACATGGTGAAAGCCCATCTCTACTAAAAATATAAAAATTAGCCGGGTGTGGTGGCGGGCGGCTGTAATCCCAGCTATTCGGGAGGCTGAGGCAGGAGAATTGCTTGAACCCAGGAGGCGGACATTGCAGTGAGCCGAGATCACACCACTGCACTACAGCTTGGGTGACAGAGCTAGACTCCATCTCAAAAAAAAAACAGAACAAAACAAAAATAATAATAATTATAAGAAAAATAAAATAACTAAACTTCCTTGCAGCTGGGTGTGGTGGCTCACACCTGTAACCCAGCACTTTGGATGCTTCCTCTTGAGCCCAGGAGTTCAAGACCAGCCTGGGCAAAATAGGAAGACAGCATCAATACAAAAACATTTTTAAAATCAACTGGGCATGGTGGCATGCACCTGTGATCCCAGCTATTTGCAAGGCTGAGGTGGCAGGAAGGTAGAGGCTATTGTGAGCCTCTACTTGAGCCTCCACTTGAGGCCTGGAGGAAGAGGCTATTGTGAGCCATGATAGCGCCACTGCACTCCAGCTTGCGTGACAGAGCGAGATCCGCTCTGAAAAATAAATGAATATACTTCCTTGTCCAGTAAAGGATTTTTGAGCCATCACCACCAACATACACAAAGTGGAAATGTTTAAACCCCAACAGAATTCTACTTTTTAAAAAGTCATTGGTGTAATTGGTGAAGAATATCTCATTCTTCATCTCATTTTCTTACACAAGCTCAACAATAATACATTAGAGAGTATACCCAGGAATCTAAACACATATCATGGAAAATAAAATATTTTTCTCAAATGCTCACCAACCACGTGAGGAATCAGGGAAGGCAAAATGAATTCTGATGGTTTAAAAGGTTAAAATACTGAGAAGAATGCTTGCTTGCATGAAACAAAATAATCATTTCTCTCATCATCAAGCATGTGCACTTCTCCCATACTTCCCACCACCTCCCCACACACATTCTCGTTAAGTCCTGCATTTCATCAACATACTTCCTTTCTAAATACTTTCAAAAGGTTTAGGATAGCATTTCACCACCTACCTGGGTCCTTCTTTTCCCCATATCCTCATTCTGCCCATAAATTATAGCTAAATTCTCAACCCAACTACTTAAATATATAGTAGCTGCTGAATATTTAGTTACTTCACATGTGTTCTCATGTTCTTAACCACGAAATGTCTCAGGGATGACAAATACTGCTTTAAGAAAACAGTCTACCTATCTTTTCTTCTGATATAAAATATTACAATTACTGCCAGGGAATGGTGGCTCACACCTGTAATCCCGGCACTTTGGGAGGCTGAGGCAGGCAGATCACAAGGTCAGGAGTTCGAGAGCAGCCTAGCCAACATGGTGAAACCCTGTCTCTACTAAAAATACAAAAATTAGATGGGTGTGGTGGCAAGCACCTGTATTCCTAGCTACTTGGGAGGCAGAGGAAGGAGCACTGCTTGAACCCAGGAGGTGGAGGTTGCAGTGAACCGAGATCACACCACTGCGCTCCAGACTGGGTGACAAAGCAAGACTGTCTCAAAAAAAAAAAAAAAATTACAATTACTTCAATAGGAATAACTTGACCACTACAAGCTGGTCACTACAAGCATCCAGACGTTGTTAGAGCAGAACAAACAAAATCAAGCAAGGCTCCTGGAGATCAAGACAAAACGATGGCTCCACATCCCCTCTCCCAGAGAAGTGGGTTAGGTACACAGATGCATCAACCAAACGCGTAAAGGCAGAAAGGAAGAAAGAAAAAAGCCACACCAAAGCCTACTAATCTGCCCTGCAAACCCAGAAAATCATAAGCATGTTAATTGAAACCAGAATCTGAGAAAGCCAAGCAAACTTAAAAGGGGTACAAACATTTATAACAAGAGGAGGCGACTCATGGATTTAATTACTTCCACTATATATGACAATTAAGAATAAATGGTGGAAAACCACAAAACAGCAGACAGTAAAGAAAAAAGTTAAATGCTGATTGCCATTAGTGTTAACTGGAGTTTCTAACACCTGCTATAAGCTACTGTGTAATAAAAAATGAATTACTCTCCTAATGAATAAATGAATATCTTAATGGAAGCCAGGATCTTTGGGAAGCACATTTAAACTATTTTATGCCACAAAAGTAATGTTCACCAAATAGATGCTTTAATGCGCATTTAACTAGATGAAAGACCCTGAACCTCTAAGCGTCCAATCTACATCTGACAACAGACTTTTATCAGACAGGAAAAATCACTGAATAATAATTCATTATTTCTAATACAGACAGCTGAACGACAACAAAACCACGAACACTTACGGAATGTATGTTTCATATATCACCACTCCATGAAAGAAAAGCTAACTTATCCCAAGTTGCAAACCTGGATAAGCAGCAGAGCAGAGATTCAATCCCAGGCAGTTCCCTTCCCAAGGCTTCATCAGTGTGAGCCTTCTGGTCCACCCAAGGCTCAATGACCCAGTAACAGACTCCCAGCAACCCAAGGGCTGTGCTGAACTACAATGTTGCCCATGTAACTCTAAGAAAACGTAAGAAAATGGAATTCTTTCTCAGAAAATTTCCATCTAAGAGGAATAAAGTCAAAATCGGTATTTTAAAGGAAGCAAACTTATAAAAGCTAGAAAATGTATAAAATGCACTTATGGTCTTATTTCGGTCCCAGCAATGGGAACGAATAATATTAAATAAATTAATATGTTTAATTATGAACTGAATTTTAGTTGAAAATTCCAAGAGGTTGAATTACTTTTCCATATACTACTTCCTATCAAAAGCTCTTTCTCAATTACACAGGAAAGGATGGGAATACAGTAACTAGACCAAGATCAATGAGTAAGCTCGAGCTCCAGATTTTCAATTAGAGGACAAATAAATTAACAACGGTTCTCTAGCTGAGGTGCAACTCGTAATTGACAGCAGATCACCCCAGGTTTCCATATCAGAGTTGGGTAGCCGGAGGTACCAACTTGGTGAATTTTTGTACTTCCAAAAGAGATTCAGGTACACATCCCTGCTTAACAATATTAAACTATGCTGCGTTCCTAAATCTGCTCCAGCACCTCTTGAAAAGACCTTGAAAGACAAGAAACTTATCTACATATATAGATAAGCAGCATACAATCAGTCTCAAAAGCTTAGAAATGAAGAAACTATACTAGAAGCTTCTAACAAACATCACAGGAAAGCAGTAGGAAAATCTGCCAACTATCATTCCTAAGCCTAGAAACCAGCTGCTGCATTAAAAAAACAAATTACACTGATAACTGATATTTAACATGCATTATATGATTTTGCAATAGCAGCAAACTTACTTCCCTAATTCAATTGAGCTTGTCAAAAAATTAAAATCTTCAACTATCCACACAAAAGAATGATCATAATCCAAAACGGCAGGTAATGCAATGCCTTCAAAACGTTTTTTGATATTTTTATTATTATTAATAGCATTTTTACAGAATAAGCTATTAATAAAATTACATTTCAGTTGATGTTCATAGAATTACAATAATTAAGAAATTATTACAGAAAACTTCATACAAGTAAGAGACAACCTGGGATTAAAATTTTTTCCTGGGTGGAAATCTATAAAGAAGGTAAAATAAAAAGCTGTGCATCAAATAATCTGCATACTCATGGTAAGAAATAGTCATAGATCATTTGTTTCTACAATCAGAGACTGAGGAATGGGAATGTTTTGGACTTAAATTGTGATGCTTGCACAACCTAACAGTTAAAAAAAAAAAAAGAATTGTACACTTTAAATGGGTGAACTGTATATGGTAAGTGAGACATAGCAATACAGCTGCGTTGGTTTTTTTTTAAACCAGAGAGCTCAGACTTTAGTAGGACTCTCAGTCACGTTTTTTAATTCCATTTTTCATTACATCAGCCGAGTCTGACAAAGCCACACACACTCCACATCCCAAGGTAAGCAAGTAGGGAAATTCCTATATGCCAGAGTGTGCTTTATCTAAGTTACATGGAACATGACAGAATGTTAGAGAGGAAATTATACCCACTCAAGCACCACCCACTGAATAAAAATAACAGAATTAGTAAACATCTCCCTCTTTCATCTACTTTCCAAAAACGCTTCAAGGGTCCACCACTACCACGAAAGTAAGTTTCACAGCCACCCTTGGAAATTTACAAAAAAAAAAAAAAAAAAAAAAAAAATCACTACATACTCCCAAGTAAAACAGATTATCATGTACTTCCTTAAAATTCAAGAGAATTTTGCATTCAACGCCCTGTCTGTCTGAAAGGGTGGCTCCCACTAACTCTCAGGTCCGGGTCCTCTCCGCAGGATCAGCAGCACCGAGCTTAATAGTCTGGAGCTATTTATTAAGTAAAAGGTCCTCCCAGGTAAATCTAAAAGTAGCATACAACAAAACCAATGTCTTGTAATGTAAGTCCAGGGCACCGAAGTTATTCTCAAAACAACTGCTTTGTTTTTTTAATCTAACAACTCACCACCAGCACTTGCTTGTCTAGCTGGCTTATAGTCTTGTGATCATTATGCCAAGATCAATGTACATTAGTCTAAACAATCTGATCTTAACCAGACCCTGCTTCTGTCAAAGATAACTGAAGAGCAACATTAACTCAGAGAACATCTGCTCAATGTTGGGGGACACAGTGACAGGATACCGGCTGCCCTTCCTCTCCCTCCAAATACACCAAAATGGAACCACACTTAGCAGAGGCCTCTTTGACTGCACAATAGCCTAATTTTATAGCAAGAGACTATCATACTTTCAATACACATCCAACTCTTTAATGTAACTTCAATGTGATTAGGGGCTAGGGAGGAGTTTTTAATGGGATATTCACCATCATTGTATTCCACCAGCAATAATAATACACACTAAATTTGGTTACATTTGAAGAGAACTTAATGACACTCTTCCATCTGGAATTAAATGGGAAAACCCCAGAAATCACAAAACCAAAATTTGAAGAGCATGCTCATGAGCTTTTTTTTTTTTTTAAATCCTTAACTAGGACTGTGAAGTAAAGCAGCTATTCCCTTTTTTTTTTTTTTTTTTTTTTTGACGGAGTTTCGTTCTTGTCGCCCAGGCTGGAGTGCAATGGCACGATCTCGGCTCACTGCAACCTCCACCTCCCGAGTTCAAGTGCTTCTCCTGCCTCAGCCTCCCAAGTAGCTGCGATTACAGATATGAACACCACACCCGGCTAATTTTTGTATTTTTAGTAGAGATGGGGTTTCACCACACTGGCCAGGCTGGTCTCAAACTCCTGACCTCAGGTAACCCGCCCAAAACACTGGATACCACAAAATGTCTTGGCCTCCCAAAATGTTGGGATTACAGGCGTGAGCCACTGCTCCAGGCCTAACCGTCACTATTTTACTTCCCAAGGACTCAGTAAAGGCGTCTTCAATCAAAGCACCTCAGTAATAATTTCCTAACTTAGTACTAGTACTAAACACCTAAATTATGGGTAAGTAACGACACAAAATAACGAGGTGGGAAAAGGTCAAGATGCATAATAATGTTCACTTTGAAGAAGAAGCTAGTTGAATAATTTTATGGAAAATTTTGCCAGTATAAACCACAAATTTTTCTATAATTTTAACAAACTAGAAAAGTTAATAGAACTTAATAGAATACCCCCCATTAAAAATGTGTATATTCTGAATAAGCAATTCACTCCTTTTTATCATAAGGAGTTAATTATGAAGGTGCACTAAGCTCACTACTTTGTTACTTTCAACAGCACAGAATTAGATCAAACTAATTCTAATTAGTTTGAATTAGATACCCCAATGCTAGGTAGGTGCTAATAAATTCTAGGAGGCAATGCAGGACAGTGACTGGGCTGACAAACCTGGAGCATCCAACCACCCTAGTTGGACAGTATTTAGTGTCTGCTCTGCCCCAGGTTTCCACCCTTGTGGGGGTAGTCCCAGAGGCTAAATGGGCACAATGGGTGGGGAGAGGGATCACACTGCATACTGCCTGGGAGACAATAGATGTTTACAGTAAGTCGCACAGAGGCCAAGTGGAGAGATTGTGGCGATTCAACTCAGCTGCCCAGTGGAACATTCTCCACCCAATTACAAGGAAAGATGCAGAAAATTATTTAAAAGCCAGACTTTGAGAGACTGAGCATGTGCAATGCTGCTCCGGGGATTGTTTCTGTTTTGTTTCTCGATGTTTTACCCAACTTGGTGAAGAAAAAGAAAAGAAAAATGGATACCACAAAATGGTAATAATTATCACTGTGTGGTATAAATGCTGTCCCCCCCCTTTTTATTTTAGCAGAAAGCCCAAATGTTCTAAGATAAAAATATATTGCTCTTGTAAATCAAATACAAAATAGGGTATGGAACTGTACTCAACAGGACTTAAATAGGATTGAAATAATGAAAGAATATTCACTCTTCTTTCTACAGTTTGAGTCATGATCAGTATCACACACCCTCCCATAATATTAAACTATGTCATTTCATTTGTTTAAACATTTATTGAGTCTATCAATGCAGATACTATGTCATCTTGCCCTTAAGCGGGCACTACTCTAAACTCTGCCTTTCATCGATTTCTCTTTGCCATTTACTAACAATAAAGACTAAACCCACAATAGGTGGCAAACTTACTTGGCACCTCTTCAGTCACTGCTAGAGTACAGTATTACCCCCCACCAAGAAATTTTATATACAAATATAAATTATTCTGATGACAAAACAGAAGGTCCAGTCAATGAAGTGTGGGAAGCCTTGTTGAAGCATGACTCAGTACCTATAATATGGCAGGGTCATGACGGGTAGGCAAGGTTGCTGGCACATGCCTATCTTACCCTGGAGGCTGGGGCCTGCCCTAGAAACTTTGTCTACTTTCCTGTGTGTTGCAGAGAAGCTGAAAGCCCCTCTGCTTCTAGACCTTACATTTGCTGTTTCCAAGTAAAATCATAAGTATACATAAGAAAACTTTTTAAATATCTTCCACTCAAATGTGGAAGAGTAAAAAAGAACATATGGGAGGGAAAAACATTTATGTAAACAGTAGGTACATGAAGCAAGAAAAAATGGGCTGGGCAGCAGGCATTATTTCTGCATGAATTTTTTATACTTTTCCATCAGCTAGGAAACATCTCAAAACTGCACAGAAGAACCCATCAAAAAATTTTATGTAACAGTGAAAATAACACTTTTTCTAACATCACATGGGCAGGAAGGAGAGCGTGGGTATAAAAGAAAAGACTTCCTTTTGAATACAGTCTCTTTTGTTTCACTTCTTTTTAAAAGAGATAACTGTCCTTGGATATAGAAAGTGTATTAGCACCGCTTCCTGCTTCGAGGTGGTCAGGTCTTTGACCAGGTTTAAATTACTATGCAGAGAAAGACTCATCCCTTCCCAAGACACAGCTTGGAGGCAAACATCGTAATCCCATAGCTGACTTCAGGACTTCAGATAGGTCATAAGGCCAACTGAGTGTTATCTAAAACTATCTTACATTCACACTCACATTTTTCCCACTAAAGAGGAACGAGACACATTTCTGACCAGCAAACGACCAAGTAGGATTGAAATAAAGATCACGGCCTCAGCTTCATAAATCTAACTCTACCATCATGGCTATAAATGGGGCACAATACAGAACACCAGCAGGGCTCCTAAGTCCTAGGAATGAATGAATAAAAGTCTGCCCCAATATATTGTTTCATATATATCACCTCATGGGTTTCTCCAATATCCATCCACTACAAAGACCAGCCAAAGCAAGATGAGAGTAGTCTTTATAAACCTGAAGGTTGGCATATCTAGTCAAGGAATCACAACTACTTTTCATTAGCACCAAACTGGTTGTTCATAACTACTCCCAGGTAGTAAAATCCACACCCAACTAATGACAAAGTATCAAAAGTACAATGATGTCGCACAAGTCACAGATTGAGAATCAGGCTCAGAAATCAGCCCATTATTGTACCTGCTGTATGACCTCACTGGACATCAGCTTCCTTCATTTGTAAAGTAAGAATGAAAGAAGGTGCACACAAATTGGAAAGGCCATGCTCAGCACTTCAAAGGCACCCCAAATTACTTGGCCCTTGTTCTTTAATAACTTTATAGACACAGCCCATTAGAACATGGCATCTGAGGCCGGGTGCAGTGGACAAAAATACAAATGTCAGTCGGGCATGGTGGCATGCACCTGTAATCCCAGCTACTGAGGAGGCTGAGGTGGGAGAATTGCATGAACCCGGGAGTCAGAGGTTGCAGTGAGACAAGATCACACCACTGCACTGCAGCCTGGGCAGCAAGGCAAGACTCCAATTCAAAAAAAAAAAATTAATGCCAAAGATCATAGAGATAAGAAGTGAAATATACTAACAGCAACATTGTCCTCTGAGTTTTTTCTCCCTGGTGAAAGAAATGAAACCTTGTATGGGAGCAGATAAACTTTAGAAGAGAGCTAACTGGGCCAGGCATGGTGGCTCACGCCTGTAATCCCACCACTTTGGGAGGCCGACGAGGGCACATCACCTGAGGTTGGGAGTTCGAGACCAGCCTGACCAACATGGTGAAACCCTGTCTCCACTAAAAATACAAAATTAGCTGGGTGTGGAGGCACATGCCTGTAATCCCAGCTACTCAGGAGGCTGAGGCAGGAGAATCGCTTGAACCCAGGAGGCAGAGGTTGCGGTGAGCCGAGATCGCACCATTGCACTCCGGCCTGGGTAACAAGAGCGAAACTCTCTTAAGGAAAAAAAAAAAAGCAGGGCGGGTGGGGCGGGAGAGATAACTGTTCTTGCCCTATCTTTAGCAGTTAAGAGGTGCACCCTGGGAATACCTGCATCTTCTCTCTTTTTTATAAGAGACTGAGGTAGCCACTTTCCAGAGGTCCTCTAATGTAATTTCTGGTCCCAGGGCCAGTTTTTGCAACTTCCTCCTGATATCAGGGGCTGCCTGAGTAATATATTTATCCTTTAGGATTAGCTGTCCCTTGGCTGAATCAGGAGATAGGGAGGTGTGCTTTACTAAGGCCTCTCTTAGCCTTTCCAGGGAGGCAGTGGGATTTTCTCCAAATCCCTGGTCAATCATGGACAACTTAGTATAATTGAGAGGCCCGGTCCTAGTTCTAGGTAAGCCTTCCATTATGCACACCTGAAAGTGTCTCCGCTTCCCGTCTTCCACCTCGTCACTGGGATCCCATTTAAGGTCATCCATTAGTACTGCTCTTCCAGTTGGATAATGTTTGCCCCCTTCCCTGATGCTGTATGTGACGTAAAGCTCATCCCCAAATCTCTCTGCTGCTTGCAGAGCAGCCTGCTTCTCAGTGTTCGTCAAGGTCTTAATTCAAAAGTAACATAACCTCTCTCCAGGAGAGTTCAAATATTTTAGTGAAATTCTGAAAAGCCTCTATATATCTTATCAGGGTCATCTGAAAACTTGCCAAGATCCTCCTTAATTTGCTTTAAGTCCTGTAGGGAGAAGGGTAACTGGGCCTTACTGGGCCCAAATTCAAAGGGCATCTGCTGGAAGGGAAAGAGTGAGACTGGGCCTTGTTGAGAGCAAGAATTTTTAGGAGGGAGCAAGTGAGAGGCTGAAGCTAGATAGGGAAGTTGGGGTGGACCATAGGGGCAGGGCTAGAGGGAGCTGGTTCCTCTGCTGGGAGTGCCTCTTTACTTTCCTGGGCTTGCCCCTTGCAGCCTTCCCTGAGACAGCAAACAGGAGGGCTGGATCAATCCTATATTGTCGGCAAAGGTCTGGATTGCCTTGCAAGGTATACAAAGCCTGCACATATGGGGCCTCAGCCCATCTGTCCTCAATGTCTACAGATTTGCCAAATGGTATCAAAATAAATGGTTTCTTTCTGAAGCCAAGCCAGTCCTTTCTGTAAATCGTAATTTGGCTAAACCTTTGTGCAGAGGGCTACGACGCATTTTTCCTCCAGATTCTGAGAGTCAATGCAGTCCCAATGGTTTAGGACACACTCCAGAGGAGTATAAGCTGGGAGTGGTGAAGAGAACTGGTTGCCCATTCTGAAAGACAGGGAATAGAGGCGTCCCTCATTCCCTTCCTTCTTTCAGCGAAAACTCAGGCTGTGACAGAGAAAGCGAGTGGCCTCCTTTCACTCTCCACTTCTTATCCCTGGGCCAGCCATAGGTACCACTGCAGTACATACCCATGAAGCAAAGAAAACCTGGAGAATAGGAATTAACTGCCCTCACCTACGCCTCCATTTCTCCCTGCTGTCGGCAAACTGAGTTCCCTGGGCCTGTTTACACCATGAAGCATGGCGTCCTTCCGTGAGGTGGAGGATTTGGTTGGCAGGACTTGGTCCTTCCTATTTACATTGTGCCTGTTGCCTGGCCTCGGAACCCTCAGACCTGGTTTTTCTTTCTAGGGCCTCTGCCTGAAGCTTGGAATCAAGTTTGGGACTGAAAAAGCATTTTAGAGGCTGTTTGTATCTGTGTAGAGTGTCTCAAATGTGCCCTCTCAAATCTGCAGTTCTCAGCCAGCAGGGGCCGTTCCTTCGTTAACTTCCCTATCAGAAACAGAGTTGGGAGGGGGACCCTTCTCACTCAGAAAAGGAAAAAAAGAGAGAAACAGTTTAAGAGGCAAAAAGGGGAAAATTCAGGGGGGTGGGGGGAGAAAGCCCCTTGCTTAGTGCAAGTGGACCCCCCCTAATCCTTATGTCTTTTCCCAGTTCAGACCAGGTTGAATTCCTCGGGCAGGGGTTCCATTGGTGTGGCAGACGAGAAGTGCCCATCCATTGGCCCTGTAGGGTCTCAGCTACCACCATGGCTTTCTACCACCCACCTCCCCCATCGTGGCTGTTGGGCTCAGACCTTGCCTGCTGCAGGCATGCATAGCCACCCAAGCTGGGAGAGGAAAGGATAACAGGAGGTGCCCTGAGCCATGAGTGCCTGTGTCTGTCGAGCTTTAGAGACACATACATGGCACCTCTAGGAACATCTGGTCTGATGTGCATCTTTGGCAGCTGAGCCTAATGCTCATTTTACTTAGTAATATTGCCAATGCCTAGAGGAAAACTCTTAACATTGTAAGGAAAGAGATAAGAGCCATTCAAACCTCTCTCATGTAAGAGAGAGAAGAGACAAGGTCTGGGGGTTTTGATCGGCAGTTAGGGTGGTTTAAAACTGCATGAAGGGAAGCAGAGCCTCTCAGCCGCAGGAAAGAGATGGCAGGGTTTTGGAAGAGAGGCAGGAAGAGAGACAGTTTCGCATTCGTTTACACTCACCCTGCGAGGAGGACAATGGAACCTTTCCCATTACACATTTAAGTGGAGTGATTACAAATAACAAATTGATTTTTATGTGTGACTTACTGAACTACACTCTGAATACTAAAAATAAGTTAACTCTTCTCTGGCGAGAGAACTTGCTAACCAGATCACTAAGTCTCCAATCCTGACTGCGCAACAGAATTACAGTAAGAGAGTGAAAAAATACAGTGGCTCGCACAGGTAATCCCAGCACCTTGGGAGGCCAAGGTGGGAGGATCACTTGAGCCCAGATGGAGACCAGCCTGGGGCAGCATGGTGAGACCTCATCTCTTAAATTTTAAAAACAAATGTAAAAATAACATGAAACGTACAGAACTGTATACTGCCAAATCTATTAAAAAAAAAAAAAAAAGAATCCTGAATTTTACTAGTGAACCAATGCTAAATTAGAACACTGAAGGGGGTATGTTTTTAACAAGCTCCAGACAGTAGTGTTCAACATTGGGGAACATTCTTTCCCCAGACAAAACGGTTTCCCTACAAGACCCTTATTATATGTCATTGTACACAGGCATTTACAAATATTGTCTTAAATGTAGAATTAAAATCTATACTCCAGCTCTAACTAAGTTAGCAAGCATTACTTTTTGAGTTTGACCAAAGTAGTTCATTCCAAAACATGAAAAGCCACAAACATTTAATCTTAGGTTCCTATTTTTAACAACAATATACAGAAATCTTCGCAATAGCGAAATATTACTGAACCACCAGTGTTGTTAAACACAAAAATAAATTAGTTAGGCTTGATATACTTTTCCTTCCCTCCCTCAGATTCCCCACCTGTTTTTCAGTTTCAGGAAAAGGCAGCCACTGATCTCCACAGCACTCACCGGAATTACCTCTCTTCTGGGATGATAAAGGGGCCATGCCTTTATTTATTTATTTATTCATTCATTCATTCATTCATTCATTCATTCACCCTTGGAGACGGGTCTCTGTCACCCAGACTGGAGTGCAGTGGCACAATCTCAGCTCACTGCAACCTCCAATCCTCAGCTCAAGCAATCCTTCCACCTTAGCCTCTTGAGTAGCTGGGACCACGGGTACATACCACCACCTCTGGCTATTTTTTTGTGTGTTGTGTATAGAGATGGGGTTTTGCCCAGACTGGTCTCAAATTCCTGGGTTCAAGCAATCCGTCCCCCAGACTCCCAAAGTGCTGGGATTACAGGGGTAAGCCATCATGCCAAAGGGGCCATGCTCTGGAGGAGGAGATACAGAGCCTGCTCCAGCTGTTGGTCCACAGAAACACTGAGCAGCACATAGGAATGCTTAAGGCTTGAGGGGCACAGACAGAAAATCTGGGAGTCTCCAGCACACTCTTGCAGTGTGGACAGTGGACACTAGGAGAAAAGACACCCCCCAGGGACACCTCAATGTGGACAGGCAGGCAGAGAAAGGGGAACTGCAACAAGACCATGTTCACACAGAAGAGAACAAAGAATGAATGATGGCATCCCAGATGTGAAGGAAGAGCAGAGAACTTCTAAAACAGTCAAACCTGTCAAATGTGAAGTTCTAAACAGCACTATAGGAGGCTGACCTGCCAGAAGCAAGGTGACTCTGACATACCTAACATGGTCAAGTGAAAAATGAGGGGTGTGGGCCAGGAGCAGTGGCTCACACCAGCAATCCCAGCCCTTTGGGTGGCCGAAGTGGGCAGATCGCTTGAGGCCTGGAGTTCAAGACCAGCCTGGCCAACACGGTGAAACCCTGTCTCTACTAAAAATACAAAAATTAGCCGGGCATAGTGGCACATGCCTGTAATCCCAGCTACTTGGGAGGCTGAGGCATGAGAATCGCTTGAAGCCACGAGACGGAGGTTGCAGTGAGCCGAAATCAAGCCACTGTACTCCAGCCTGGGTGAAGGAGCAAGACTGTCTCTGGAAAGAAGAAGGAGGAAAAAAGAAAAAAAAAGAGGGGTGTGGACTGAATATCCCCTGGGGGCCCATTCCAGTTCCACAAACCTAAAATCTATGGACTTTCAATTACCATTTATAAAATCAAGAGAGAAAGTAAGGCTGGTGAGTGTTTAATAATCTGCATCATGAAGAAATTAAATATACCCCACTGGTTTAATACCACTAATTTTTGAAAATTAAACCAATGAAAATAGCAATATTCATGAGTCTAGGTGGTATGATATGCAGTTATATTCCAGTTCTTTAAATGGCAGTAGTAGTTTTGAACAGGAACTAGAATCTCCCCAGGCCCACAGTACCCCAAGTTTTATTGTGACTTTGTGTAGAATTTCAAAAGGCCTTCTGTATCTAGAGTTGTACACTCTCTCAAATATTACAGTATTGAAGAAACAAACAACATGATGGAAGATGCCCTTTGGTAACAACAGCCTGTACCTGACTTGGCCCATCTGTCAGTCAGAAAGCTGGTACCCCAAAGCGCAATGGAAAACAGCAAAAGGAGCAAGCACATGGTAAAAGGAGTATGCAAAAACTGCTGTAAAAATTATGTCAAATCCAGACTAGCTTGAAATGAAGAGGGGGTGATCAGAAAAGTAGTGGCAGGGAATGAATGGAAAACCTTACTCCTTCAAGGTATATAAAAAGCATCCTCACATTAAAATACGTATCAATATAGAAAAAACATTTTTATAGAAACAGAATTATAAGGAAGCATTCTAAGATCTGACTTCTGCCAAAGTAACTCTAGGGCTCATGTTCCTATTGGTGACATAAGCCACTGTTCCATAGGAACCCCTGTGATTACAAGGTCAAATTTTATTCCATTATGCAGCACACTGACAATGCTTCTTTGGAGACATGATCTGTTAATGTATGATTTATTGTAATTAAGCAACACAGTTTAATGTCATCAAGAGGCTTTAATTAGAGAAGGCTGCTGTGTCTTCACGCTGTCAGATCAATTCCTGTTTGCACAACCGTACAGACTTATACATGCTCTGGGAACACCTCTGCATGTACTGAGCAAGCCCTCCTTTGGGGTTATGGACTTCCGCACGCTAAGATGTCATATTTTAAAGGTTTGCCCACTAAATATATTTTGTGTGTTCATCCAAACCAGTCTCGGGGCGGGGGAAGCACCCTTCTATTCTCCAGAACATCCTGATAGGTGGCTCCTTTGAAAAGATTACCTTTAGGTTTCCCTGGCCCCAAGACTCCCTAGTCACTTGTATGTTATGGCACCAACTTTGAATTTCATTCCTGATCATGCATAATGCTATTCTCTTTCACCCACGTATTTACTGAACCAATCTGGCACTCAAATAGCTAGAATATATGATGGTTAGATAAATAAGATGCAGTGTTCATACAATGTAATTTTTTTCAGCAATAATAAGGAATACATTCTGGAAATGGATAGTGGTGATGGTTGCACAACACTGCAAATGTTGTCAGTGCCACCGAATTGTACACACAAAAAATGGTTAAAATGATAAATTTGGTGTTATGTGTATTTAACCACCATTCTAAGAACTGAAAAAGGAGGAGATTAGAAATGAAGTACTGATTCACGGAACATGGAGAAACATAATACTAAGTGAAAGACGCCATACACGTATGGCCACATAGCATATGATTCCATTTATATGAAGTGGCCAAAATAGGAATATCCAGTGACAGAAAGGACATTAGTGGTTGCTAGGGCCTGGGAAGAAATAATAACTGCTGATCAGTACAAGATTTCCTTTTGGATTGATGAAAATAGTCCACAATTACATAGTAGTAATGGCTTGCCTAACTGTGAATATACTAAAAAACACCGAGTTGTATATACTTTAAAAGGGTAAATGTGCCGGGCACGGTGGCTCATGCCTGCAATCCCAGCACTTTGGGAGGCCGAGGCGGGTGGATCACGAGGTCAGGAGATCAAGACCATCCTGGCTAACACAGTGAAACCCCGTCTCTACTAAAAATACAAAAAATTAGCCGGGCCTGGTGGTGGGCGCCTGTAGTCCCAAGCTACTCGGGAGGCTGAGGCAGGAGAATGGCGTGAACCCGGGAGGCGGAGCCTGCAGTTAGCAGAGATGGGGCCACTGCACTCCAGCCTGGGCGACTCCGTCTCCAAAAAAAAAAAAAAAAAAAAAAAGAAAAGAAAAGAAAAGAAAGGGTAAATTTTATGGTGTGAGGATTACATTTCTATAAAGCTGTTATTCTTTTAAAAATAACAGAAGAATACGGGAAGAACCTTAAGAAACAAGGAGTAGACAGACAACGAATGTATGTATTGAAAACTATTTTGGATTATTTCTTAGGACAAACACACACACAAAAAAATTGTTCTCTTTCCAGCTCTGCAGGATCTAGACAAGTGAACTGTTCAGGTCTTGCAACAACTTAGAAGGCCTATCAGACTGGCAGGAGCTCAAGGGGGACAGCTGGACTTACACAAGTAGCGCCCACCACAGCTGCAAGCCAATTTCTTTTTCTAAACACTGTGGTCTCTTCTCCTGGAGCTGCTGTACAGGCTTTTGTCACTATAATAAATATTCCTTCAGAAATACAGGGAAGTTAGGAGTAATTTGGAACAGAGCTATTAAATATTGCTCCTTCTACATAATAAAGCTGTTTTGATACAATGCTGCTTTCAAATACCTGCCAGGTTAATGAAATGAAAATTAAGATTTGGTGTTAACACTGGGAGTCTTGGATGGTAACAGTATTACATGATATATTCTAATTCATTACTAAAAGAATTGTCTGGCATGTTTGAGCCCCAGTTAATATTCAGATATATCTAAAAATTAAATTCCTGAGGTAGCTTGCTAATTTGGTTTTTCTCACAGAACCATTTGACATGCCCTGTAAATATTAATAAATTATCAATAGTTGTTTCTGCATAAAATTCTAATTCTTTGTCGGAATTTTTTCCTAGCACATTCTAATCCCCCCACCCTTCCTTCCTCACTCTGACATATGGCGAAGAGCAACTGGTTTCGAGCTTGGCACTGCGACTATTTTCAAGCAGACTTTCTGAGGGCATCAGTTCCTGCATCAAGCATGCAGTTCTAATGGACTGGCTTAGCAGGTGTGCTCACAAATATCAAACAGAACAATACAGTCCGGAAGGAGGGACATTAAGTCTAGGATTTTTTTTTTAACTTATGAATTAGAATTTTCTATTTAATATTTTCAGACACCTGTTTATTTTAAGAAACCACAGAAAGCGAAACTGCAGAAAGGGGGTCCCACCGTACTTTTTATGAAATGGAGTTTCACTCTTGTTGCCCAGGCTGGAGTGCAATGGCACAATCTCGGCTCACTGCAACCTCCACCTCCTGGGTTCAAGCGATTCTCCTGCCAACATACCCGGCTAATTTTTGTAGAGTCGGGGTTTCTCCATGTTGGTCAGACTGATCTCGAACTCCCGACCTCAGGTGATCAGCCTGCCTCAGCCTCCCAAAGTGCTGGGATTACAGACGTGAGCCACTGCACCCGGCCCCCCACCGTACTATTAATGGAAGTCACAGCTTACATTAGGATTCACTTACTCTTTGTGTTCTACATTCTACAGGTTTTGACAAATGCAAAATGTTGTGAATTCCCCATTCAGTCTGGGGTATTTCTTAAAGTGTTGCTCAAAAAGACAGTTTCCAGTATTATACTTCTAAGGGCACTCTTTCTGTTTTCCTTCACCACTCCTGGCCTACAGGTTTTTTGTTTTTTTTGTTTTTGTTTTTGTTTTTTTTGAGGCAGGATCTCTCTCTCTGCCACCCAGGCTGGAGTGCAGTGGTGCAATCATGACTCATTATAGCCTTGACCTCCTAGGCTCAAGCAATCCACCTACCTCAGACACCCAACTAGTTGGGGTTAGAGGTGTGTGCCACCATGCCCAGCTAATTTTTGTATTTTTTTGTAGAGACAGGATTTTGCCATATCACCCAGGCTAGTCTCCTGGGCTCAAGTGATCGAACTGCCTCAGCCTCCCAAAGTGCTAGGATTGCAGGTGTGAGCTATCACATCCAGCCTTTTTGCTTTATTAAATGAGTAGTTAATTCCTGAAATACCGCTCCTTTCACAAGACAATGAAGTCTAGTGAGATGTCCTTGTACTTAAGGACTATCTTAGGGAACAATTACTTAATTACAACACATAACACTCTTTCCCAAAACCTGAAAGAAGTCACCTTTTAAAAACAGACTACTTTGAAGTATTCTGTCTCCCCAAGACAGGAAAGTGAAGAATGGAAGGAGGACTTAAAATATATATTTTTTGAGAAAGCTTTTGATGTGACTTTCCCAGTATTAAACAATACCTCTTAGCAATGATTGCATCTTTTGGCTGATTCACCAATAATAATGACCACGCAGAGAAGTTTCTGGCTACACTATTTCCATTACTCATTCTGTGAAGTGTTCAAAATGTTAAATGTTTTGACTGTTTTCCTAATTTACACTCTATGCTTTTAATATATTAGAACTGATTTTTGAAATACATTGTCCCTTTAATAAACACCAGGCACTAATCTAAGATTGCCAACCTAAGTCATATTTCTACTGGAAGAAAAAATACACTGAAACAATTAACATTATTGGAAGAAAAAATGAAAAAAGAAGAGGGCAAAACCCACACACCATACTTCCTCCGGTAATGTGGTCGTGACCACTGTGTTGTATCAAACTCTGGCCACACAAGTGGATCAACTTAACCATTCCAATGCTGGCGCAGGATGTGGATTCGGTGGTATTAATGAGTGCGCAGGCTTATAATGTAACCTCACCAGACCAAATAACCTCCTGGCCACACAAGTAGAAAATAATTAAAACAAGCACGATTCCAATTTAGCTTTGTATACCAGATGGTGAATGAAAAAGCAGACAAAGACTCGTTTTGTGAATAACCTGGGGAACAGCCCCTATAGTTTCTTTTAAAGTTACAGCCTGACTTGTGAAATCAAAGAGGAAAGGAAAGAATACAAACGTTCTCACCAGAATTCACTCCTAGAGCACATATATATCCTTTTCCTTAGGTCATGACCAGAGAACATCACAACTCATTCCTTAAATGAATGTCAAGTTTAATCACAGTAAAAACCCAGAAACCCAGTGAAAATTAAGTGGGGGCAAGAATCTGCTGAACATCTATTTCAATGTTGAGCTCTGAGCTGTATGTAAAGAAATATATGAGATATGTTTTTTAAATCATCAGGACTACAAAACAACAAAAGTCACTGCCCAGATTCTACAAAGATCACTCCCAAAAAATAGACAATATTTGCAACCTAACAGAGACTCAGGCCTTCTTTTTCCTCCCCTCAAGAATAAGGGCATGTCATGGATGGGCAAAGGAAGAAAACATTTTAAAACCCAAAGATTCCTAACTTTGCACAAGAACTCTGTCAGCAGTCTAGAAATGGGAAGATAAAATCCGAATGGCTGGCTGACCTTCACAGACTAGACAGAGCGCATGCGGTTTAACCCGCTTATTAAAGATAAAAGCTGCATTCATGAAAGGGAGACATTAACTAATCTGTGCATCCTCCAGTGGGGATAAGGACAGCAAAAGAGGCCATCATACAGTCCAGTACTCCTTGAGATTTACAGTGAGCTTGCCCTGAGTCAAACAGCAAAATTGTGAGCTAGTTTATTTCAGCACAATAATCTTCAAACTTTTCTGTTAGATCCCAGCAGGATGTCAACTCTCCCTATAAACCCTACCCCTGCTTGCTGCTAGCAGCAGCTGACTTCCCCAGGCCCATCCCTCCCCAACTCACTCATTGCAGGATTAATCACAACCACAAAGCAGAAGAATCCCAGGCCAGAGTCCCAAGGGATAGTAAGATGATGACTAAGGAGGGAATTACAGGCTTGGGGTGATACCAAAATAATCCCCCAAAAAAAAAAAACCATATTAAAGAGACATTTGTTTCTGCCTCATTCAATTTAAGCATCAACAAAGATTATTTCTTTGGGTTCCTAAATCCTGTTTCTGACCTACTTTGTTTCCTTGACACAATGGGTTTACAATAGGTGTACAGATGCTCATGTGGCCCCAAGGGAAAAAGAAGAACTAGAAAAAAAAAGCCCATTATTAAGATACTACATTTGAAGATCTCTCTGGCTTTTACTGCTGGTCACTGTTCACAGGCTTCTTGAACAAGGCAGGTGCCTCCATGCCCATCCCCACACAGGTGGGGCCTCAGCAGCTAGACATCTAAGGAAGGGTCCTTTGCACTCTACATACTTGACAGGTACCCTTCCTGCAGCAATAATAGCCCATGCCATATTAACATGTGCTGCACAGGTGTAAATGAAGTCATCGTGAATTTGAAACAGAGGAAGGTGTTTCTTGACCATCTGAATCTCTTACTTTGAGGCCACAGACACACATTTTGACTGTATGGATGTTCTGAAGTCTGGAGTAAACGAGGCTGTGGTCCTGGCTTTAACACTTACTATATTACACTGGGCAACCTAGATAAACAATTGTATACATCAAATTCTGCTTCTGGAACAACAGGATTAAGCAGTCAATAAAATTTAGCAATGTTCTAAGCACCATACATCTAATCACTTAACGCTCCCAATGACACTAAATGATAATAAGTTTTTCTATTACCTTCGATTTTCAGCATTTCAAGTAACTACAGGTATAAGGCAGCACAGTAACTTGCAACCTGCAACAGCAACCTGCAGACACTGGTGTTATTAGGAATTGCAAGTAATACATGTAAAGCATATCATCCTGCCCAGTGCCTGGTACACAGCGGGTGCCCAGTAAATAGCAGCTTTACTATGTTTTGGAGAATTTGGAGATCCTGTTCACAAGCTCTATCGCTACCTGAATTCCATACAGGTGACTTTGTGGGGGGTGATCTTTGCTTCTTCGGACCTCAGAAGAGGTCCTGGAAAGCCCTTCCAGGAGTGTTGCAAGCCACTGACCCTTAAAATTCACCTCCTGGTTCCCTTCATGAACTCTCACACAGAGGAGAGTCTTCCATTGCACCAATATTTATTGAACAGCTACATGTCCTGGGCCTGTAATAAATATTCACTGGCAATCCACTAAGATGAATCAAAGGTGGCTAGGCTGGGGATGGTAGGGGTTCTCTGAAAACAAACAAGATACTGTATAATGTGTGTGGAGACAAATACAAACGAGGTGCACAACACAGCTACTCCAACACGGAAAATGCATCTAAGTGGGGGATGAAAAACGCTTCACAAAAGACATAACATTGAGCCTTGAAGGACAAGAATGTGAAAGTAAAGACAGCAGAGACCGCGTTGCAGTCCAGGTCACAACCAAGCCCATTCATCTGCTTCTTGAATTTATTCTTTTTATAAAGACTGTCCTAGAACCAAATTTCTATAGTTCTGCTGTTTTACCCCAGAGATTGCTACGTGCCCTTCTTTCCAAGGCTTCCTGTGTCCTTTATGACCTCCCTCCCTCATTCTTAGTCCTCTCTACTCCTCCCCACCACCCACTGGCAGCATGCGGGGATGCACGCACATGCACACGCACACACACGCGCACACACACACACACACACACACTCTTCCAGAATGGAAGGGATGGCAGCTGAATGCAGTATCACTCACATTTATACCTGCCCTAGATGCCATCATCAGATCTCCCCCTCGTGGCCTCACCAAGTATGCTGAATGTTACACATACTGCAGAGTTATGCCCTGAGACTGATAAGGGACTATAATATGAAAATGTGCAGGGGTGGGGTGGAGGCGAGTCAAAAGGCACCTATGCAGCCAGCTATGATAGCACCACTGCACTCCAACCTGGGTGACAGGGCAAGACCGTCTCTTAAAAAAGAAAACAAAAAAGGAACCTAGAAGTTACCATTTTTATTTGTCTATTTAAAAAACAAATTTTTAAAAAAGAAACAGCACCAACCCCAAAAAAGAAAAGGAGGAAGGAGGCTAACAGAGTAAGAGAAAGGGGAGAAAAAAGATCCCAAAGCAAAACCCATCAGCCGTGTTTCAGGTCGGGCCCAAATGTTGCTGCCAGATTAAATGACCCACCTTCACTCTCAAAAGCTGTGGCACTTGGAACAAGTGACCTCATTTCCTCAAGAACAACAAATTAAAGGGACAGAGAGATTAAAAACAAACATGTTTTATCAACCCAACCAGTATCAATGTATAGACCTTATTTGAAAACATGAGACTGACAGTAGGGGAAATCTGAACACTTGACTCATTATGTTATCATTATCATGGGTATGTTTTCTCTAAATAGAATTCACAGCTTTTAAAAATTAATGCTGTGCTGGACGTGGTGGCTGACGCCTATTATCCCAGAACTTTCGGAGGCCAAGGTGGACTGATCACTTTAGGCCAGGAGTTTGAGACCAGTAAGGCCAACATGGTGAAACCATGTCTCTACTAAAAATACAAAATTATCCATGTGCAGTGGCACATACCTGTAGTCCCAGCTACCTGGGAGGCTGAGGCATGAGAACTGTCTGAGTCTGGGAGGTGGAGGTCGCAGTGAGCGAAGATCGAGCCACTGCACTCCAGCCTGGGTTACAGAGCCAGAATCTGTCTCCAAAGAAAATAAAAACATTAATACTGACAGGCCAGGCGTGGTGGCTCACTCCTGTAACCTCAGCACTTTGGAAGGCTAAGGCATGGGGCCAGGACTTCAAGGACAGCCTGAGCAACATAGTGAGACCCCATCTACCAAAAATAAAAATTAGCTGGGTATGGTGGTGCACACATGCGGTCCTAGCTAGTGAGAAGGCTGAGGCGAGAGTATTGCATAAGCCCAGGTGTTTGAGGTCACAGTGAGCTATGATGGCACCACCACTGAACTCCACCCTGTCTCCACCTTCCACCCCCCAAAAAAATGTCTGAGATTTGCTTCACTTAGAGTAAAGGTGTAAATGAAACAAAATTCACCATGGGTTGATACTTCTGCAATTAGGAGAGGCTGCATAGAAGTGTACTGCATATTTTCAGGACTCAAAAAAGCTACTGTTTACCTGGGTTTCATATACACATTGATATTTACCATACTAGAAATTAAAACAAATTTCATATTAATTCATTTAGAAAATTATACAATCATTACATGTTAACAGAAATAAAATTTTTATGAAAATTGTATTTTACACATTGAAAAAACTGTGAGAAAAGTGGCACTGCTTTCCACTTCTGCAAAAGTCTTTAATATCTGGCTTAACGGGAGTCAACACAGTTCTCATAACTCAATTCAATCTGATGCAATATCACATATCATGTAGTATCTGGAAAGCCCCACTGCACATTTGTGAGAAAATGAAGACAATAATGTCTCAGTTTTTACCATGGTACTACTTTTCGCCTTGGAAACTCCCAGGAAGGGACTATGATCTAGGGATCCCTAGATGACAGTTTGAGAACCGCTGTGATGGAGCAAAGTCTATGGCGGTAAATAAGAATTTCCTTGACTTAGCAAGATTTCTACGATCCTCTTTACTCTGGTGAAATCAAAGTCCCAAGTTGACAAAAAGAACATCATGTCACCCCTGAACACCCTCCTGCACACCACACCATCATGAAGAAAGGGTCTCTGTAGTATGGACTGGTCAAAGTACCCTTAGACATTCCCACAGCTAAATTCAGGACAAGCTGTGAATGTTCAAGATGTACTTCTAGACCGCTGATCCCTAATAGGAAATCAATATGCTGGGTCTCTTGACAAGCAATTTTCTTTTAAATTAAATAGGGGGAAAAAAAGGATAGATTACAATATAACACGGAGAGTGAGGCTAAGCTGAAATTGTTTCAGTTGTGTGTGTGCACACACACAGGTAGCCACAAATACTGGGTCTCAATTCGAAAGTTCTTATTGCAAATAAAAGTCAAAATTAACAACAACACAATTCCCTCAGGTACAAGGTACAGATTATAAAAGTCTTTATAAAGAAAGAAAATGGGAAGAAAAACCATGTTTGAAGAGGAAGTAAAGGTGGTGACTAAATTAAGTTAAAAAAATCAAGTTTTGAAATTGTGGTATGGTCCTCATTAAAGAAAAAAAAAGAAATTATAAACACATACGAATACACAGAAAAACTCTAAAAGCATCTCCTCCAGCAAGGGATTTAGGCAGGCTTGAGTGCAACTTATTACTTTATTCCTTTCAGGGCTGTTGAAATTCTTTGACAAAGGGCAGGGAATGCTTTCAGAGTTTAAAACAACAACAACAAAAGACATTCTTTTCTTTTTTTTTTTTTTAATAACAAAACCACCTCTGACCCGTACTTTGCTCCAAACAAATATTAACTCAAAAAGCAGTTGGCGGGAGCGGTGGCTCACACTTGCAATCCCAGCACTGTGAGAGGCCGAGGCAGGAGGATCACACTTGAACTCAGGAGTTTGCAAAGTGCCTGGAAAATAAAGCAAGGCTACAAAACTACCAAAAAAAAAAAAAAACACAAAAATCAGCCAGGCGTGGTGGTGCACGCCTGTAGTACCAGCTACTTGGGAGGCCAAGACAGGAGAACTGCTTGAACCCAGAAGGCGGAGGCGGAGATTGCAGTGAACCTCCAGCCTGGTTCAAAGACTGTCTTTTAAAAAAAAGAAAAAGAAGAAGAAAAAGGAGGGGGGTCATAGTGCTCACCTTGGCAGCTCATATATTAAAACTGGAACATTACACAGAAGATAACACGGCCCCCGTATAAAGATGACATGCAAATTCGTGAAGCTTTTCTTTTTAAAGTGATCACAAGCAAAATGTGGGGGAAAAAATTATAAAACTCCAAGAGGAAACACAAGAGATAATCCTTCCAATCTTAGGTTATACAAAGATTTCCTAGGACACAAAAAGGATGAATGATAATACCTTGGGCTTCATACAAATCAAAAAGGATTTTCTTTTTTTTTTTTCCAGTTTTTTTTTTTCTTTTGAGACAGAGTCTAGCTCTGTCCCCCAGGCTGGAGTGCAGTGGCCCAATCTTGGCTCACTGCAAGCTCTGCCTCCCCGGTTCATGCCATTCTCCTGCCTCAGCCTGAGTAGCTGGGACTACAGGCGCCCGCCACCACGCCCGGCTAATTTTTTGTATTTTTAGTAGAGACAGGGTTTCACCATGTTAGCCAGGATGGTCTCGATCTGCTGACCTTGTGATCCGCCCGCCTCAGCCTCCCAAAATGCTGGGATTACAGGCATGAGCCACCACGCCCAGCCTTTTTTATTTTTTGACAGAATCTTGCTCTGTCACCCAGGCTGGAGTACAGTGGCGCGATCAGCTCACTGCATCTTCTGCCTCCAGGGCTCAAGTGATTCTCACGTGGCCTCCAGAGTAGCTGGGATTACAGGCGCACACCACCACACCCGGCTAATTTTTGTATTTTGAGTAAAGAGAGAATCTCACCATGTTGCGATCTGCCTGCTTCGGCCTCCCAAAGTGCAGGGATTACAGGTGTGAGCCACCACACCCAACAAAAGGAATTTTCTTTGGAAGGCAATGTTAAGAAATGTTACAGGTTGCCTTGTGTCCCCTAAAAAGTCTTATGCTTAAGTCCAAACCCCTAGTACCTCAGTATGTGACTGAATTTGAAGATCTGAAGTAAAAGGACAGCAGTAGGGTGGTCTCTGAGCAATAAAGTTCAAGACAAAAGACGACAAGTTTGCTGTCAAGGGAAAAGCACCAAAGAGAGAAGGCCAAGCCACATATCTATGAAGACGCTAGGCCAAGAGGGCAGGATTTCCCGGTGCTGTAGCACACCCAGGCTGGGCTAGGGTGAGTCACACACACACACCTGGCTCATTCCTGTGATTGTAAGAAAGAAAAGGAAAGAACAAGACACAGCTAATCCTACACAGTTCAGATATGCTTAATGGATAGAGAAGGCAATCAGGGAGAAATGCATTTGGGAAACCAGGCTGTGCCTGCCTGCCTGGCAAGCAAAAGCCCACCACCCACACAGAGCTAAGAGGTTTCGTACCACAGAGTGCAAAAGAAAAACAGCCAGAATGAATGTGTCAGGAAACCTACAACCAGAATGTTGTGAGGAAAAGTAACCTACAGTCCTGGTGTTTGCTACCTTAGCATTTGCTAGAATGAGCCTGCTGCTACGACCAAATTGCATACAGTCCAATCTCAAATGAACCAGATAATTCAGAACAGCTTGGAATTTTTCTCTCTGGTTTAAGAGTATGCTGTTATGTTTATATTATGGTTATGCCTAATATTCTGGAATTTGGAAATCAAGGGGAAAGTTTTATTTTGTTTGAAGACATAATTTGGAAGTGGTTTAGGAAATCAACTATCCCCTCTTCTCTATGCTGAAATCTCCCCTACTGCTACCCCCAGGGTTCACCAACTTCTCATACAAAACATCACCCCCAAAATGAGCTGCTGGCTCCCTAATTTGCTGTTTGGCTAAATGACTTAAAGAGAGAAGTTTTGGGTCAGCCAGTGGCTTAGTGCAAATATTCCCTGGCTCCTGGCTAAAAATATGGCCCAGGTATTTGGGTTTAGTCAAATCCCTGAAATCTAAGCATTTCTCATGTCATTAAAACTCATTAAATCCTTGCAGGGTAGGTAGATGCTACCAGTATCTCCCACTTTGAAGGAAAGGAATCAGAGAAGAATGTTACTTAAAAGCACACACCTAGCCAGTGTATCCAGTGCTTCCTGTACACAGACAAAACACACTGGGTGATAAAACATTTCACAGGAACTTGCAAATCAATAATTGGTCCAGAGAGTGATAATAGTGAATATGGCTTGCGTAGCTAGGACTACAGGAGTGTGTCACCATGCCTGGCAAGTGCCCTCTAACCAAGTCTCAGAATCAGAAGCACAGAAGCCTGTGCACCTTTTCCTCACTCTTACTGCTCCTTGAAAACTAAGCTTCAACAAATGACCCTATGATTCTACATGCCTGTTTGGATATTTGAAATTACAATTATGTGTTTTTCATGCTACCAAACAGGAGCTATGCAGATTTCCCATTCTCCCATTAACCACTAGACACTAAATCTAATACTTCTTCCAGGCCGGGCGCGGTAGCTCATGCCTGTAATTACAGCACTTTGGGAGGCAGGCGAACAACGAAGTCAGGAGTTTGAGGCCAGCCTGGCCAACATGGTGAAACCCCGTCTCTAGTAAAAATACAAAAAATTAGCTGGGCGTAGTGCTGGGCAGTGTAATCCCAGCTACTTGGGAGGCTAAGGCAGGAGAATTGCTTGAACCCGGAAGGCGAAGTTTGCAGTGAGCCGAGATCACACCGCTGCACTCCAACCTGGGCGACAAAGTGAGACTCCATCTCAAAAAAAAAAAAAAAAAAAAAAAAAAACAAGAATTCTTCCAATTATAAAATTAGATTGCTATTCTAACTCACACTCTATTATTGAAGTCTCATATCTTCAAAGAAAGCATTTCTGTTGTTTGTTCTTGTTAACTTACTTAGCCACTGACCCAAAGAAGAGTCAAGCAATTGGCTTGTAAATACGAGGAGAAGCTGAAGGAAATCATGTTTTCTAATGACAAGTTACGAAGTAGATAAACCCCCTGACAGTCAGTCTTTGGTTCTGAATAGAGATCTTGATTTCACTGCCACCCACATTTAAGAAACAGAGCAGAAGTAATAAAAAGCTACAAACCATGTTTCAAGGCCCAATCAAAAAGGTTTACAAAATTGTTAAATATTTCCTGCTCAAACATAATTTGAATTGCAGGTTCCCATTAATGAAATATGTGCCGTAATTAATACTACATGTGAGTTCATTAGTTCATAGTTAGCCTTAGTTACAGAGTGGACAACTCACAACTATTAATAATTTCATGATTTTTCTTTGTGATGTAAAAAAATGACATTCCCTTCATTCCCTTTATCCCCACAAGAAGGTGTATGATTATACTGATTATACTGATATATAGTATATATATCATGGCACAGGGCCAGGTGTTTTGTAATTGATAACACTGAGTAATCAGACTGTTGAATTCTTGCACAGATCTAGTTATTTTCTTCCAAAAATTCTTTTAAGTTCCTGGCATTTTCAATCTGCTCACAACATACTAACTACTGCAAAATACTACTTGTAATAATGAAATCATTCATATGATACACCGCCTCCCATCCCCAAATTTGAATTCTAACATTTCATAAAACTCCCAAACAAGATGAGAAAATGTACCAGCATCACAAAATTACTACAAACTGCAAGTCATACTTCACATGCAAGTTTAACTAACACACACACACACACACACACACACACACAGAGAGAGAGAGAGAATGAATCATATTCTTGCATGGCCATGGCTGAAAATAATATAGATTGGTCTCTAATTTACATATATTGCATATGAAAATGAATTAGAGGCCATATGCTTAACTCCACAAATGAAATACAGTAATTATTTCCTATATTATCCTTTCTGAATAACATCTAATCTAGCTACTAAAGAAGGATCCCTGATTAGATAAGAAGGAAACATTTGGGTCATTAGCTATACAGTTTCATCTTCTTTAAGAACTGCATTGTAATGAATACCAGATGAATTTAAACTACAGTAGGTTTCAAAATAAACTACAAATCACATTTATGTATGGTTTTTGATAATTAACAGTCATCATTTCACCTTCTACTTCAACCCACTTAAATCCCCCAAAGCTACCAATCCACTCTAATTTGTGTAAAGAACAATGACTGAGTTTCTTAAATATATTTTTCTATTCTCACACTTACATTCTACGAACTACCTAATTAAATGTAAAGTCTTCCTCTTTTCAACTGGTTATGATGGAAAAGAAACAGAGTTAACCTAACTTGAATTACCGGCTTATAACCAACACCTTACCTGTGTCTTAACTGAATACTAAGTCACTGGAATTGTAGAGGACATTAACACTGTAATACATTTTCCATTCTCTTCACAAGCATCCACAACCACAGTCTCTTCTAGTCAGTTTTTGTTGGATACTGATCCACATAGATCAGAAGCTGATCGGCTCACCATGGTAAATATTTGAAACATACTAATAAAACAATGGAAGAAACCAGCAAGATAAAAGTAATCAGGTTCTACTAATATAGCCTTGTCTACTTAAAATTACTTGTATTTACATAGATACACTCCCTAACAAGCGTATGGCTGAAATATCTCAGTGCTTAGCTCCAGTTCGAATAAGGAAAGAGTCAAGGGGCTGAACTTCTCTGAAATCAAAAGGTAAATGATGCAGTGAAGCAAGAAGCCTTGATGACTGCATCAAATTTGCATAATTTGTTTAAGAAGTACCCACCACTATTTTAATTTACATAATCTGCAACCATTGATTAGGTAGTTTTTCATCATATAAAGTTAAAGGGCCATCCTCAGGTTAAACTTTTCCTGCTTCTCCCTCAAACACAGATCTCACTTCTAATTGTGTTCCAGAAACTATGGACAGACCGGATGCAGTGGCTCACCTGCCATGAAGCAGGTGGATCACTTGAGGACAGGAGTTCAAGACCAGCCTGGCAAACATGGTGAAACCCCGTCTCTACTAAAAACACATACACAAAAAAATTGGCAGGGCACAGTTGCGCACACTTGTGCTCCCAGCTACTCAGGAGACTGGGGCACAAGAATCGCTTGAACACGGGAGGCAGAGGTTGCAATGAGCTGAGATCACACCACTGGACTCCATCCTGGGCAACTGGCTTGAGGGAAACTCTGTCTCCAAAAAAAAGAAAAAAGCAACACAGAAATTCCATGTCACTCAGACACAAAATGGCTACTGCAGAACCACAGAGAGGAAAAAGTTACAAAAGATATGCTGTCAGAGCAACTCTTTTAAAATTATTGTTCAAGGCAGCACAGCTTCTCATTGGTCCACCAACTTCAAACCTTGCCATGTTTCAAGACAGAATGAAAGATCTGTGCTCATCTAATGAATCTTTGATAACTTATAGCATTCCAAGCATGTTATATACATATGAGAGACAGACAGACAGCATCCTCTCTCCCTGCAAGAAAGTGAATAAGCCATAAAAGCTAGCCACCCTACTTACTTTCTATGTAAATACAAAAGGCCCAATTTTATTTTTCATCTGCTACCCTAGAAAACTGATTGGACTGAATGTCTAGGCTGCTTCCTTATGTCCTTTTAATAAAGCCAGCCACAGTAAAGAAAACAGAAATTAGCGGGAAGTGCAGAGCTCTTTGCCACTGGGATTCACAGCAGCCTTTGGACAAGCCATTATGGCTGTCTGGCTCCAGCCCTCTTCCCAATAACCACCACCCCCTTTCTCGCCTACCCCACACCACCCTCCAAGATCAAAAGCAGCACTTACTGTTTATAACATCCTGAGCAATCCGGGAATCTCAAGAGGCTTTTGTTGCCTTTCCCACCCCTCATTGTTTCTGATCCAAAAAATGTTTTTTAATGAGACAAGCCAGTCCTGAAACAGTCACACCAGTGAATCCGGCCTGCCTCAAATGACAATCCTCTGAGATGCCTTGTAAGGAAAGGGGAGGGGGGTGCCTCCAGTGAATGTCAGAACAAGAGCATGTGGTTCCCAGCCTGCTCACTCACAGCAACTGCACAGTTGTGGGGCTGCAAAGGCAGCTTTTCTCCAGGTGGTAGCAACCACCACCACCACCAAAGCATAAACAAAAAACAACAAAAACCTGGAAGTTCTTGCTGGACATGGAAACTATTCTAGGTATACGAAAACAAAGATCTGCCTGTTTCATGTAGACAACTATGTGCCTCATCCCCCTGCACCTCACTGCTGTCTCCCTGTCCTTCTCCAATTGCCTACATCTAACATGCTGGCTGGATCCACGTGTCCTCCAGCTGGGCCTTGGAGTTCAGCTTTCTCTTTGAAGTTTAAATACAAATGGAGAAGTCCTATTTGTTTAATCTTTTTTTTTTTGGAAACGGAGTTTTGCTCTTGTAACCCAGGCTGCAGTGCAGTGGCAGGGTTCTCGATTCACTGTAACCTCCGCCTCCAGGTTTCAAGTGATTCTCCTGCCTCAGCCTCCCCAGTAGCTGGGACTACAGGCATGCGCCACCATGCTTTAATCACTCTTATTCTCACAGCTGATATATTCACTAATCTGGAGCAAACTCAAAACCTAGCAACTTCAGTGAACCCAGGCAAACAGACTAGCCTCTACCTCACTGTCCATCCTCACCTCATCTGCTGGAACTTGCAGGCACTGCTGGCCAGCAACAAACACAGGAGAAGAGGGGACGCCTAAATACACCAGTTTTGTGGGAGCGGGTCTGGTATTAAAGAAACAAACCCTGGAGGGATCGGCTCTCCACGCGCCAGCTGTGTGCAACGCCACCCAAGGGTGCATCCACCCTGAAGATGAAGGGTGTGGAGCTAAAACAAACACCCACGCAGCCATGGCATTTTCTGAGATTCAAAATTCTCAACAAGAGAAACTCCAACTAAAACTCAAAAAAGATACTTCAGAACCAGCACCTCCGAGACGCAAGAGGGTACCTTCTGGCAGTGGACTATGGACCCATCAGTTACACGGCAAGCATTCAGGTACCTTTGGGGAAAACTCACCTTTACGGATGAAGTTCAACCTCACTTTCAGTTCAAGAGGCAAGACTCCAGGTCTACTGAAGTAAAAGGTAAAAATTTCCTAGGGAGTTTTGGGGGAAATTACTCTTACCACAATGTCGGTTGAACACCCCAGATTTCAAACAAAACTGTATTTCTACCTGCAAACCTATGCATCACCTTTAAATGACTCTCAGTTACACAAAACCATAACCATAACCACCTCAGGAAATCAAACTATTATCCTAAATGAGACTTGCATTTTCCTGCAAAACAGAAAAAACTGACATGTTAATATTGTCTGTTGTGTTTCAGATCGATTATTTTTCAACTGGTCCTCAGAGCTATTTCTTACCCCTTTCTCAAGGGGATTTCACAGAGGGACAGGAAGAAATTATTTCTGATGAAAAAAAATTCTACTGCTAAATAGATAAAATCAAATTAAGTACATGCAACAAAGTACCATTGCTAATTATAAATAACTGATGGGACAAGAAGCACAAAATCACAACCCATTATACTCAAGACTGTCTACAAAAGATTCATTCTAGACCAAAAGTACACTCATTGAAACCCCACAGCAACTCTATAACAAAGGTACTATTATCCCCATTTTACACAAGCAACTTGAAGCACAGGCTGGCTAAATGACTTGCCCAAGGTCATTCCATAGAGAGCTGAGATTCAAACCCAGGGTGTCTGGCTGTAGCCATCCTATTAACCAAATCATACTGCTTTCAAAGCTGTGTTAAAAACAATAGCAGTGGGCCAGGTGCACTGGCTCTTGCCTGTAATCCCAGCACTCAGGAGGCAAAGGCAGGAGGATCATCTGAGGTCAGGGGTTCAAGACCAGCCTGGCCAACATGGTGAAACCCCGTCTCTACTAAAAATATAAAAATTAGCTGGGCATGGTGGTGGGTGCCTGTAATCCCAGCAATCTGGGAGGCAGAGGTTGCAGTGAGCTGAGATCAAACCAATGCACTCCTGCCTGGGCGACAGAGAGAGACTCCATCTCAAAAAAAATAGCAAGAACAGTCCAAAATTTCTTTACTTCTAACCAGCACAAGCATAAGGACTACTGTCCTCAGCCACAAACCTCACAATGATTAAAGACATAATCTTCATTATGAAACACTCCTAACTGGCCACCTCTGTAGGGTAGCAACTGAATCTGAGACAGAAGCATAGAATCTGGCCGGGTATGGTGGCTCATGTCCGTAACGCCAACACTTTGGGTGGCCGAGGTGGACAGACCACTTGAGTTCAGGAGTTCAAAAACCCTGTCTCTACTAAAAATACGTGTGCCTGTAGTCCCAGCTACTAGGGAGGCTGAGGCAGGAGAATCGCTTGAACCCGGAAGGCAGACAGAGGTTGCAGTGAGCAGAGATCGTGCCACTGCACTCCAGCCTTGGCAAGAGTGAGACTCCATGTCAAAAAAAACCCATAGAATCTGTATTTCACACATGTTTTCAAGCCAGCAGACCCCACTTCAGTGGTACTTTTCGTATTAGTTGAGAAAATACTGAAGATAACATTCACGGGATGAAAAAAAAAAGGAAGCAGGACTCGTGTAAACTGTGTTCTTTCTAATCTTGGTTCCAGCTTATGCCCTCAGTCACTTTAAATCAATCTGAAGACAAAGAATTTGGAAGTCATCACTTACTTCTTCCATAAATTTGGGAGCCCTGAGAAACTCATGTCTGAAATCACTAATGAACGTACTCAACGTATGGACGGCACACTGGGCCCAGTTAGCACACACTACAGGACTTGCTTGCTTCATTAACGCACTTTCCCAGTTCTGCTAACAATTTTAACAGAACTTGAAACAGAACTTGAAAAAACAGAATTGGGCGAAACACCACTCATTTATTTTGGTAACTTCCGGACAACCACAACTTCTAGGGATTTGCAGCCTAAAAGCCACCTGAAGCAGATGAAGATATCTCACTTTTTTGACCGTATCTCATCTCAATTATTCAGGTAGTCCAGTCACACTCTAGATACGTGACTACTTCTAAATATGTAAGTTTTCTGTGTTAAAATGGCAGACTGAGCACTTGACCCTATGGTGTACTGACTGCACTATGATTCCCACAGTAAAGATCAAAGCTATATGAGAGAGACTGCAGTTCTCCAAGACAAAGCAACGGGTCAAATAAATCTTGGAAAGCCAGCTGGTATAGATGGGCATCAACCTTCGTAATTAATCCATCATGGGTTCAAACAGCATTCTAAAGGGACATCTCTCATCCTCCCTAGTCCTGTAGATTGTCTACTACCTGGCATCTGAAGGAAGTTGTTTGCAATAAAAACATGTCTAAACTCTTCTTTCTGGCAGAATCAATTCACTTATACACATGGAGAATTTTTGGACAAGCACGTTGCTCTTCCGTTTCCTTTTGTTCTTCATTAATATACGTATTATTTAGTATGTAAAAATTATTTCTAAGGCAAAATACTATTCAAAACATATTGGTAAGGATGAAATATTCTTCAATTTTAGAAACTGCATAATCCAAACCTGATTTTCCAATACATAAAAATATGGAATGCTTCACAAATTTCTGTGTCATACTTGCATACAGGCCATGCTAATCTTCTCTGTATCATTCCAATTTTAGTATATGTGCTGCTGAAAGGATCACTCTTCTGTATCTTCTGAAAGGCTTTTCTATAACGGCAACCCCAACTAAACACATCAGGCTAAGTATGTGCGTATTTTTTGGTTTTACTGAAGCAGTCGGGAAACCAACAGTAATAAAGGCAATTTATAATATTTCACTAATTATTGCTGCCCATTCATTTCACAGTCCCCAAACCTTCCCTAACCTACAGTGTCTACCTCTGGCATCTATGTACCATGGATTGTCTGTGACACTGTTCCAAGGCAAGTTTCCTCCCTCCTCTCACTGAAGAGGCCTCAACTGTATCTCCAGGGTTCTGTCCGCTTCTATACACAAGCACCAAACTGATTAAACTATGTCTAATGTATGATTTATAACTAGCTCTCAATGTCATTTATTAAAACTAAGCCCTGCCTATAAGAACTCTAACACCACAAATCATAATTTGAATGACAGCAACTTTCAAAATGCCGTTTACTTATTATTCATTATTTTAACAAATACTTAAGTACCACATGCCAGGCACTGTTCCAGGTGCTTGGGGTAAATTTATAAGCAAGAAGATTCACCTCAAGAACAAAAAGAGTCTTGCTCTTCATTTTTTTTAAATTATTGTATTACTTTATATTCTAGCAGAGAAAGCCAAAACCACATAAATAACAAAGTATTTGAAGTAGTGGCAAATGTTATAAATAAATGGGTAATTTGACAGAATCACAGCAGGAGACCACAGGAGTGGGGGAAACAGGAGCCACAGCAACCTGCAGAGTGGATCAAGATTAATTTGAATACAGCCTCTGCCATCCACTAACTGAGCTTAACCTTAAGCCCGTCCCTTTGACCTTATCTATGAACAGCATCACTGTTCATGGCTACCCAGAATTGGAAGGACTCAACATCAGGACACCTTGGGCCTTGGGTCCAGATGCAGTATCCTCTCCCCAAATGAAGAGATAAAAACAAAAGCAGCACCTCCATGAGGGCTTCTAGACAGCCATGGGCCAGCAGAAGGTATAAGGATATTTGGGGAGACACAGGCCAAAGGTAATTACCAATGTCTACTCTCCTAGGCCCAAGGCAGGGATCATCTGCCCCTAGGAGAAGAGGTTTAGATGACAAATGTATTTAAGATCTGAAAGAAATCTCCCCAAGTAAGAAGAAATTCATTTTCTAATAATTGGTGCTTAAAATGCAGTTAACTCCACAGGTTTCTATACATCAGCCAGAGAGTGTTTCCACCAAGACTTCCTGTTCTTTTCCAGATTTGCAAGTCAAAACACTAATGCCACAAGAAACATACACCATTTCTGAATCTGTACGGCACACTGCAAATTCCACAGTGCTCTCAAGGACAGCATGCTGCCGCGGCACCAACAGCCTGCGTAGATGTGAACAGCAACCCTGGCTCGGCTCAGTGTTGGCAGCAGACTTCCCAGAAAAGCTGGCACTCTTCAAAATGGGAAGTCACCAGTGAAGAGGCACAAATGCAAGACCCTGTCTGTACTGCTTGTGCAGTACCTCCTAGGGCTTGGGGAGCTGGGATATGTAGTGACTATGAACCCAGGCTACCCTACCCCAACCTCCAAACACTGGTTCTCAGCCACAGCGCTTTCTTCATACAACTAAAAATGAGATGTTACAGTGTACATACTCAGGCACACACAGACAATAGAATGGGACTTTCTCATCCATGAAAACTGAGATTTTTCCTGTTTCCTTGGGGTGCCATGGCTCCTTGCTATTCTAAGTCAACATATTCTCCCTAACCATCAAAAGGAGATCAGGAAGCAGAGGACAGGTGTAATGTAAAAAAAGCTCCGACGGCAATCCATTAACAGCACTGAATTCTTTTCCAAGAAGATTGTTTAAAAACAAGCAACATAAACGGAAAACTCCCACAGATTTTATGGAAGGCACTATTCTGAAACTGGAGGCTGCAGCTCGGTTTGCGGGAAAGATGCTGAACGCCAGTGTTTTCGTCGGAACAACAAGGCTTGGGTCAGTCAGTATATTTGCTTGTTTTGTCCCCTAGTGGGGTGGTGAGGGGTAAAGGTAAGGGCAGAATCTGGCTGGATCATCTCTCAGTTACTAGGTTCTTTCAGTGTGTGTGAAAGATAAGGTTGCTTTAATGCCCACTTGAGAAAAAGACTACAGGGAATCACGAAAGGACCAGGCCAGGCTTACAGGGAAAAAAAGAAACACAGACAATGAGTGAGTCACAGGAAGAACACAGAAAGACAGAAAGAGAGGAGACTACTGAACCATAACAGGAAGGAACAAACCATACACACAGCCTGGATGAATCTCAAAGCAAAGTGAAGGGATGTAGACACAAAAGTGCTTCCATCTATATGGCATTTACAACAGGCAAAGCTAATCTACAGTGCAAGAAGGCAGGTCGGCGCTGGCATGGGGGCACAGGACAGGAGCACAAGGGAGCTTTCTCGGGTGACAGGAGGTGCATATATTGATGGGATGGTAATACCCAGATGTGTGCAGTTGTCATAAGTTATCACAGTGTACACCTGAAATGGCTGCATGTATAAATTTTACTTCAATAAGATTGGTTTTTTAAAAATCCAAACTGAGGCCGGGCATGGTGGCTCACGCCTGTAACCCCAGCACTTTGGGAGGCCGAGGCGGGTGGATCACGAGGTCAGGAGTTCGAGCCCAGCCTGGCCAAGACAGTGAAACCCTGTCTCTACTAAAAATACAAAAATTAGCCAGGCGTGGTGGCAAACGCCTGTAATCCCAGCTAATTGGGAGGCTGAGGAAGGGAACTGCTTGAACCTGGGAGGTGAAGGCTGCAGTGAGCCAAGATCGCACCACTGCACTCCAGCCTGGGTGACAGGGCAAGACTCCGTCTCAAAATCAAAACTGACTTAGAAAGCTTTTGTTTTTGTTTTTTAAATCTAGAACAGTAGGGGTGCATATGTAGAATGAGCTATGACAATTTTTTAGGTTAAATTGATTTCTCTAGAAAGTAGCCATCCAAATTAAATAAAAGTTAATGCCAAAAGCCACACCTCTGGCAATACAATCCAGGGACCTGGTCCAAATGTGGAAAATTCCCCCCAGTTTCACGTAGTTAAAAGTGACTTATTAAAGAATATTTTACAATACAAACTCCCTTTTGGGGCTTAGGGTATTAAGAGGAAAAAAATTTTTTAAGGAAAATATTACAAGAAAAAAGAAAAAAAAAAAACAGTTACCTTTTTTGCAAGCCGAATCAGAGTGCCATCTGTGGCTTGTGTTAAGGACTTTGCTTTTGTATTGTGCAGAAAGGCAGATCGAATATTTACCTGTGGGAGAGAAAAGGCTTGCTCACAAGTCTTCAGACTTTTTCTTTTTCTTTCTTTCTTGAGACGGAGTTTCGCTCTTGTTGCCCAGGCTGGAGTACAATGGCGCGATCTCGGCTCACCGCAAACTCCGCCTCCCAGGTTCAAGCGATTCTCCTGCCTCAGCCTTCCCATGTAGCTGGGATTACAGGCATGCGCCACCATGCCTGGCTAATTTTGTATTTTTAGTAGAGATGGGGTTTCTCCATGTTGGTCAGGCTAGTCTCGAACTCCCAACCACAGGTAATCAGCCCGCCTTGGCCTCCCAAAGTTTTGGGATTACAGGCATGAGCCACCGTGCCCAGCCTCTTCAGACTTTTTCTAATGTAAAAGTGTACCAGAGAGACTCACCATGCCCAAGACTGGTACAAGGTGGTGTGAGGCTGGTGATGGGCACTGCTAGGGGTTACTGGATTAGGAGCAAGGGTGATATGAATCCTCTAAGATCCCAACTCCTACTGTCACAAGCCCCATTGATACGCCACGCGGAAGGGTCTCTGAGACCAACAGCTTATTAGAGAATTATTATAGCAACTATCTCACTGCCAACGTGCCATGTTAGCCCTGGAACTAAAATACCCGCATCCCAAAGGATGTGAAGTCCTCATATTCACTCTATGACGGTTCCCATTCCCACACAGGGACTGGGCAGGCAGCCGTGAGAAGACAACTCAGGGTGAACAGGGCACCAAAAATTAGAATGAATTCCCAGAGTTGGAATCAGCCACCTCCAGCCCACAAACCAAAGTCAGCTCGGTTTCTGGCACGAAATTATTTACAAGTCATCCTGGCAGGAGTCACATCCAAGATTTATTTTAAGACTATAATCTTGGTCTAAATCTCAACTTCCAGAACTGGGCCACCAAAGAGCCAAGCGGGGATGGGAATTCTGGAGATTGAAATCCCATCTCCTGGAAGATCTCAGAACACTTAGGCCCATCCCATCTCTGCACCTGCAGATGCTTATGTAGAAGGGCATCCCCTTCCCTCCAGAACTACCCAGCAAGAAATCCAGAGGGGAGCATGACCCAGAAACAGGGGAGAAGAGGGGAGGCCAAGGCATTCACAGCCTAGCTTGTGCCATCTTAAGAATCCCTACAGCAGAATTCAGGGCCATCCTTGTTTAATTCAGCTCGCATTTTCCTATGTAAATCACTATTTCTGTTATGGTTGGAGTAATGTGGGAGAGGGTGATGTATTAATGCTATCTACAAAGGGTAGGTTCAACAGACCAGTTCCACTGTGACTAGTCATTTGTAAAGAATATTGATTTTCTTAATTTCATTCCACAAAGAGGCTATGGCAGGAAGTATCATTTTTTCTACTGTTTTTCTTCTGCAGGGTTTTGATAAAAACTAATATTCATGTATTTTTACATAAATCACATGCTTGTTTTGCTCTAACCAGTAGCAGGAGGCAAAGGCATTTGTGCGGCACCTCTGGAAATTAAATTACCTATCTGGAATTCATCTGTTTCACCAGAGACACCCAGCCCCAGCCCATCCAGCCAACCTGGGAAAGCCTCCCTGGCCTTAATCTCATTAAGAGTCCAAAATCCACAGCCTTAAAGCAACAAAGCAATCTGTTTTCCTGCTGCTTCCTTGACTTTCTTCTTTGGAAGAAGAAGCTTTCTAGGTACCATTTTTTTTGTTTATTACAGAGTAATACACGTTTCCTGGAGAAAATATAGATAAGCCTTATCTCCTGAGCATCCATCCCTCTTCCTAAACTCTTCCAAGCCACTTCTCACCTCTGGGCTTTCCACTTTCACTTTGGAACACACTACTGGCCAATCCCATCTTCACCTGGCTAATCCCTGTCCTTCAAGCCTTCTGTCATCCCTCAGTGTGGATTAGTTGCCCCTCCCACCTGTGCCTACACCACCACTTCATTTGTCAAAGCATACATATATATATATACACACACACACACACGTTTATATATGTATGCTTTATATATTATATGTATACATATATTTACTAAATTTTCCAAGATAAGACAAAAAAATTAAACTGTAAATACTGTTTTCTCACTTGCTTTTTTCACTTATTTTATGTCAGTCAACATTCTTGCTACCATTTCATTTTAATGACTGCACGGAACAGACGTTCCATAATTTAACCAATCCCCTATTGGTTTCCATTTTTCACTGGGATACACAGTAAAATACTTACTACACATCCTTGTGGCCAAATTCCTAGAAGCAGGGTGGCTGAGTGAAATGGATGCAAAATATCACACTACTTATAATGTATACTAGATGCTTAAAACATGGAATGTCGATTTTTAAAGACACTAACACAGTCTCCACATAGAGAATAATGAGGCACCTGAAACCTTCATAAAAGAAATAACTGAGGGAACACAGGATTTTTAAGCCCAAAGATGATGAACAATGAGTCTGTTGGATGAGAAATAATGTTTAGTTCCTTCCGAGGTCAAAAATGGAACACAATGAAAGAAATGAAAGAGGTACTCTGTCAGCTAAATTCAAGAGAATGGAATTTTCCCAGAGATATCCAACATCAATCTTGCAGCTACTTAAACTATTCAGGCTGAGACAGGAAGTAATCCTGACAGGGGAAAGATATTGGGCCAGCTTCACAGGAAGGGCAGTCAGTCAACCAAAAAGGTCACTCATGTTCAACTACTACGATTTCCACCCTGCAGGGGACTTCCCCACTGCACTCTTTCAAATTAAACTTGAGAAAAGCCATGATTAAATTTTCCTATATTAGCCTAACTATTATCCAAGCACACAGCCTATTTACTGTTGACAAAATATAAGAAAACCAATTTCACCAGTAAGCAAAAGTCATGGTGGATCAAACTGCAGATTCCATTAGTGACCACGTGTTTTTACAATTCCTGTCTTTTCAAAGTAGGGAGAGTCTGGCTTATCCTCACATCTTTTGGCTCTCACAGTAACAAATACATAATAAGATAATAAGAGCAGATGAGGCTAATGACCACATTTGCTGTAATTACCTAATCTCGTTGTTTTTAAGGAAGGAAGGTATTCAGTAGATCAACCGTCACTATTTAACCACAGGGGAGAAAACAGGACTCTCTCTTTCTGGATTTCTATCAATGTTTATATGCAAGATTTTAAAGGGAAGTAAGGGAATGAAGAAAGCATTACATTTAGGCTTCTGTGAAAAGCCATTATCCTTAGAGAGGCTGAGTTGAGGGAAATGACAAACAGCACAAACATCCAGTTCTTGGTGACAATAAATGAGGCTCCAGATCCAGATGGCCTTTGAATCTGGCCCCTCTGGCTTCTATTTCCACACAGAATCACTTTCAAATCGCCCACCTTCTAAAAGTTCATTTATAAACCTGCAGTTTAAAACCTAGAATGCACTCCATCATAGAAATGATATTTAACATGGCACTTGTTCCAAACCAGCACAAAGGAATTAAACAAAATTCACTAGTATAATAATGAGAAAACAGGTAAAGGATTAAGGAAGAGGACTAGAAGCTGCTAAGGGGTGAGGGTATTCCCTGCACCCTTTCAGAAAACCAGAAAAATTTAAGGAGGAAGAACCGTTACCAACCATTCTGTGCATCAAGATTAGAATGGAAACTCGAAAGTTTTGAGCAGAACAAAACCATGTCAGGGTCTATAGCTTATCAAGTGCTTGTTTTAGTTGACACCTGACTGGCTCCTGAGAAAATCATTAAGTTTTAAGCTACGCTGGCTGGGAGTCTGTATTTCTTGGACCGATGAATTATGCATGAGAATGAACTCTGCAAATTAGATGAAACTAGGCTCTGCTATCCTAGCAAATTTGGGCAATGAACATATTTCTCATGAGCTCCTAGTAATAAATCTTAAATTAAACTAATCACATAAGTAAAGGGAGAACCTAGTAGCTGAAGTACAGAAACATACAAAATTTCTCCCCACAGACTACAAAGTTTTCAATAGAGGTAAGTCATCAGAGAAGAAAAATACCAAAAATGAGGCAGCTAAATCACATTTTCTGGTGGGGGAGAAGAACCACAACCCCATCCCGAAAACAAAGATCCAAGGAATTTTAAAGTTTGAATGTAAACATTAATTGCAATGTACTAAAAACAAAACAAAACTGGGATCACGCCTGTAATCCCAGAACTTTGGGAGTCACAGGCAGGAAGATCACCTGATGTCGTCTGAGACCAGCCTGGGCAACATGGCAAAACCCCATCTCTACTAAAAATACAAAACTTAGCCGAAAATGGTGCCGTATGCCTGTGATCCCAGCTCCTAGGGAGGCTGAGGCAGGAGAATCACCTGAATCCGGGGGTGCAGAGGCTGCAGTGAGCGCCACTGCACTCCAGTCTGGGCAACAGGAAAAAATGTTTTCTTCTTCTTTGAGACACAGTCTCACTCTGTAGCCCAGACTGGAGTGCAGTGGAACTGTCTCGGCTCACTGCAACCTCCACCTCCGGGGTTCAGGCGATTCTCCCGCCTCAGCCTCCTGAGTAGCTGGGACTACAGGCGCCTGCCACCACGCCCAGCTCATTTTTTGTGTACCTTTAGTAGAGACAGGTTTCACTGTGTTGGCCAGGTTGGTTTCAAACTCCTAACCTTGTGATCCGCCTACCTCGGCCTCCCAAAGTGCTGGGATTACAGGCATGAGCCACCACGCCCAGTCTAAATTTTTTAATGTTAAAAATATATATATAATATACATTAATATAATTGATTATATATAATAATGTAATTAATATAAAATATATATATTAACTTCAAAGTACAATGGGTAAGGTCAGGAAAAAAAATAAGCTGCCTATTTCCCCACCTTCCATTTTCCTTCACTCCACTTGCCCCTTGTGTTTTACTCCTAGGTTTTAACAAAAGTCAAAAAAAATTTTTAAGTACCTAAAAATTAAGTTTAAGGAAGATGGTATTTTTCCCCTTTCCCCAGAATGTGGACTAAATAAACAGTATGATCCTTATGAAATGTGACTGTGTTGGGCCAGGCACGGTGACTCACGCCTGTAATCCCAGTACTTTGGGAGGCCGAGGCGGGCGGATCACCTGAGGTCAGGAGTTCAAGACCATCCTGGCCAACATGGTGAGACCCTGTCTCTACTAACTAAAAATACAAAAATTAGCTGGGCGTGTGGCAGGCGTTTGTAATCCCAGCTACTCGGGAGGCTGAGGCAGGAGAATCGCTTGAACCCAGGAGGCAGAGGTTGCAGTGAGCTGAGATTGTGCCATTGCACTCCACCCTGGGCAACAAGAGCAAAACTCCGTCTCAAAAAAAAAAAAAAAAAAAAAAAGAAATATGACTATGTTGTTAATGAGAAAAGAGGCTGGCTGGCTCACTGCAGGGGGAAGGAATTCTTGAGTTTTTGTTGTTCCTACTGCTGTGGATGATGAACTCGACACCAAAGGAGATTGTCCCCCTCAAATCTTAACAACCTAACTGTGACGCACTTAAGAGCGTCTGCCACTTGTGATCTCAAAGTACGAAAAGCTGAAGTTACTTGCCAACAGAAACCCGGGAAAACTGTAAGCCTCGAGGATTGCTGGTAGAGCTTCTAAAAATCTGACGTTTAGAAAGATAGATTTGGTCCCACAAGTGGGCCACCAGAAATGGAACTGAAATTTGTCTCTGCATTTTAAAAACTGTAACCAAAACCACAGATGAATAGTAGAAAACTATTTCCTTACAAAAGTTCAGAATAATGTATTAATGGGTAAGATAATGCATATAACACAAATACCTAAAGATATAGTGAACTCCCTTGTAAATTCATAATACACTGTCCAAGGAATTCACAGGACTTTATTTAAACAGTTAATACATAATACATCTCTCACACACAGAATGTTAACAATTAGATATTGGAGGGGTGCTCCAAAGAGATGGGGGTGGGGAGGAATCAAGGCCAAGAACCCTGAAGACCCCTTGAACTCCATTTATTTTCAGTCAACAATGGTGTCTGCTTCTGCCAAGTACCCAGTGATGAGGCTGTGGTTAGGGGAAAATGAGGTGCTTTTACTCACACATCAGAACCACATTCTAGTTTGAATCTAAACTCATCCACAAATGCAAACAAGAAGAGAAAGAAACAGCACTAAAGAATGAAACCAATTTTAACTCTAAGCTAAGCTATGTTGTAGGGCAAGAGGAGGAGGATGGGGAATGAAATTTAGCGTGGCGAAAACTGGAAACAACCAAAGGCATTCAGCTGCTCAGGAGGCTTTTCCCCTCTCCAAAGTGGAGTGACAGAATTAGCCAGAGCCAGCACCCTCCCTGCACCCTTTTCTCCTGGGGTAGGCCCACAGCGGAGTTGCTCTCTGAATAAGAAATCCTGCATTACGCTACATAAAGGAGGGACAGTGTGCAGGATGACCGGCCAACATCAATCTTCAATGGCCATTTCTTAAAATCCTTCTTCACGTTTTCTTCAACAATACCAGCTACATGGCCAAGATTTAAAAGATGGAAGGCCTTTGACAACTTCCTCAAGCCCAGGCTCATTTACCAGCTGGAAACTGCAGGCAAGAAACCCTGTCCAACCAAAAAATCCCAGACTTGTGCTGGCTCCCAGTGGGCACCCCTCCTGCCAATCAGTGAGAAGAGAAAACTTGGTTGTGGTGACCCCAAAACAAGTCTTAAATGTTCCATCATAACTGGTTGTAAAAAGCAGTCAGCTGAAAGGGCCAATAAAGAGAGCGAAACACATGCTGGAAACAGCTGCTCCACCCCTCCCTGCACCTCACCAAGCAGATAAGATGCACCACCTCAACCTTGCAACCTGATGGTGCCCCCTGCCAGCACTGGACACACCCATGGACTCCCAGGAAAAACAGAAAATGCTCATAATCTAAGAAAGCAGATACTAAGTAAATTGGCCAGAGCTACTGCATTCTCTCTGGATGCAGGGCAGAAATCCTTAAGAGTCACAGAGCAGCCTATGGGTGGATTTTAAAGCCTACAAGGAAACGTTCAATAAATATTTGTTGATTGATTTTTTTAAAGAGATGATTAAAGGGTTAGAGGGGGAAAGGCCATGCTACAAAGGTCAAAAGTAAAGCATCACTCATCTAGATATGGGAGTCTGTGAAGGGCCTTCCGATGATTGTCTGGCTGCTTCAGAGAAGGACTGTAACCATGAGCTGGCTGCTCTCTGGTGTCTGCAACTTGGACGGACTGGGAGAGGTGGCCTGGAGGCTTAGAATCCTCTGGCTTTAGAGTCCTCTAAAAAAAGTGAATAAATTATCACCTCTCCAGATTTTACCAAAAAGTGCAGGTTTAACTAACCAAGTTACAGTGGGTGGGCGGGGGGGGGGGGGGGATCAGCAAATTATGTCCATTCTCTACCACCAGCTCCAGGAGGGAGGAAAAGGAGCAAAAGGAGGCTGGGACAACTGAGGCTGCGCAGCGAGATGGGCAGCTGATCCTGAGGCTCCTGAGCCCTGCGCCCTCAGCTGGTTATCAAGGCTGGTTATTAGCGGGAGTAGCCACTATCACCTGCACTTACTCTAGGACTGTTTACAGCAGTTGACATTTATTACCTCCTTTAATCCCCACAGCAACCCAGACCAAGGTTGAGACTGTGATTATCTCTCAGCTGAAGAAACAGAGGCCCAGAGAACATAAGCAACGTGCCTAGAGTCACACAGCTTAAACGAATTATCACTGTTGTTGAGGTCTCAACCCAGTGCTCCCAACCACTAAATTATGCCCTGGGTTTAATGCTGGTTTCAAGATTACCGATTATTAAACTTGCAGCCAGGATTCGCCCAGGTGAACTAAAAAGAAGGCACCTTACACTAATAATACAAACAGTAACCTCTGCACCTGAAATACCACTGTCAAATTGTTGAAAACTTCTATTTCCTTGTTCAACAAGCTTGTTTTGTTTAATAGTGATTGAGTTTGGGTTTTGTCCTTGGGAGCGGAGGTCAGTATTCAAAGCATTCCCAAATTGTTTAATCACATTGTTGAAATAATAACAAAGGAGGAGCAACTCTTCTCACATTGGGTATTATTTGGCTGGGCAAAGAGGTGAGAAGCATATTAAACAGTGCTTCCAATAAATGTATAGAAAGCCTATGAACAAAAATGTTGGACTTTAAAGAAGCCCTAAGGCTTAAAAAGCACCCACCAAAGAGGGAAGGCCAGGAGTTAAGTGGCTTTGCATGAGAGGCAATAAGCCTCTGGCCAGCCACACTGCCCGTGCAGGATTACTGCCCATAGCCTTGCTACTCAAGGCAAAGCAGTAGCATACTTGGGAGCTTATCTGAAAGGCACACCCTCAGGCCCTGCCTGAAACAGAATGAACCCCAGAATGTGCAACATTTCAACAAGATCCCCAGGTGATGCCTATGAATGTTCAAGTTCGAGGTGCGCTACCTATAGGATGAATGCCTTACATCATCATCACACATTCCACCAGAAAGCTGGTCGAGGAACCAGTTGCTACTAGTTTGTCACAGTAAGACCTAAAATTCTGTAGGCTACCTTTATAAATTATCAATTAGGATTATAATTCCTGGCATAACTTCGAATTTACTCAAAATCCTGTGTCATTTAACTTAATAACCATTGCTCACTTTGAAAAATAACCACCTGGGCCAGGTGCAGTCGCTGATGCCTATAATCCCAGCACTTTGGGAGGCCGAGGTGGGTGGATCACCTGAGGTCAGGAGTTCGAAACCAACCTGAAACCCAGTCTCTACTAAAAAATACAAAAATTAGCTGGGCATGGTGGCAGGTGCCTATAATCCCAGCTGCTTGGGAGGCTGCGGCAGAAGAATCGCTTGAACCCAGGAGGCGGAGGTTGCAGTGAGCCAAGATCACGCCATTGCACTCCAGCCTGGGCGACATAGCAAGACTCCATCTCAAAAAATAAATAAAAAATAAATAACCACCAAATAACCTGTGATCACAATAAACAGATACAAAATGAGGTTATATGTTATCCTTTGCCTTAAGGTTGGCTATCCTAGGCAATGGACAGCCTGATTTAGAAAGAAATTCTCACTTAACTAAAAGTGGGTCACCGTAAAAATTAACAAATCTAGCAAAGTAAGAAAACATGTAAAAGAAAGTACAGTGACCACAATCAATATAAAGCATAGGAATAAATCTTCCTGATTATCAAGGCAAAAACACCATTAGGCTTTGAACTACTAAGTCAACAATGGAAAGCTTTCTCTTCCTTACTCTTTTTTTTTTCCCAAGACAGAGTCTCGCTCTGTCGCCCAGGATGGAGTGCAGTGGCGCAATCTCAGCTCACTGCAACTCCGCTTCCCAGGTTCAGGCGATTCTCCTGTCTCAGCCTCCTGAGTCGCTGGGATTACAGGCGCACGCCACCACGCCCAACTAATTTTTGTATTTTTAGTAGAGATGGGGTTTCAGCACGTTGGCCAGGCTGGTCTCGAACTCCTGACCTTAGGTGATCTGCCCACCTCGGCCTCCCAAAGTGCTGGGATTACAGGCATGAGCCACTGCACCCGGCCTCTTCATTACTCTTCAAGTAACATGTTGGTAATAATGGTAAAATACCTGTAAAATGAAGACTTGAGATCAGGAATCATCATCTTTCATTCAGAAAGATGAAAAGGTATCACGTTTCCCTCCTATGTCCAAAGAGCTATAAACTATTCTTTCTCTTGACATATACTTTTCTGTTAAGTTACCAATGACCAAAAACACATACCAACGTAAAATTCACAAACACTGATCATCTATATTAGTCAAAACTTTTACTGCTCCAGAAAAGTAGTTCTCTTTCCCTATTACAGTCTTAGTCACTATACCAGGCATTTCCTTCTCAAGCTAATAATAAAACATGTTTACCAACATACCAAAGAGGGCAGCCCCATTTACTGATTTGAATTTAATGCTTGAGTATCCACATAATTTTCCTCACGTTTCAAATATACAAGACAACTATTGTTTTTCACTCAGTCTTCCTATCAAATCACTATGGGAAAAGGAAGAGACTTACCCCACAAAAACTACTTTTAAGGACTTACAGACTATTGAGTTAATTCCACAAGAGAAAATAAAATGTGGTCAACAATACTCATTTCATGTAATACTCGCTTAGTGGAAAATGGACTGCAATCATCCATCAGTGTAAGTTAACCTCCACAGTCAATAAATAAACGCCACTTCTAGTCACTCAGATGAAACCCGGGTGAGAGGGCTAGAAAAAAAATAAAGGTATGAATGAGATGTAGTAAACCTCTGAATATCACACTGATGACTGATTTCAAGCCAAAATGTATAGAACTCATGACAGAAAGTGAAATCCACATGATTAATATGGTGTCACTTCCAAATGCATTAAAGGTCTGCTAATACTCTCGGCACTCTGTGAAAAAAGAAAAAAATTTTATAGTAAAGAAGAGCTCAAGTTCCCATTTGCTAACTCAGGTACCACCCTACCATTTTGCAGATTTTCCTCTTTATGTGGCCCTTGCTGTTCCTTTGGAATTTTTAAAGACCTGGGATTTGAGTAATTGTAGCCATTTCTGAAATAGTTATGGACAACCCAGTTACTTATACGCTGCTTTAAACATTTGCTTTTGAGTATCTGGTTTATAGAGAGACTACATTTGCAATCTTACCTAGTTCTTTCATATCCAGAACCTTCTTACCCCAGTATCATTTGCTTGCTGTCTACCAACAGTCACTCATTGATAACTACCACTGATAGAGTGTGGGTAACCTTAACCTTTTTCTGTCACCCTTCCGTCCCAGACCTAAACTTTCCAAGTAAGAATTCAACTTCTGTGCAACACCAGAGTCCTCATGGTTACTGCATCCTGTAACACCTCTAAGAATCATACATAAAGGGGGGACTGCTTGCTCCCTTTCTCCACCCCTCCTCTCTGTCTCTCTCTCTCTCTCTCTCTCTCTCTCACACACACACACACACACACACACACACACACACACACAACATGAGGACACTGGGTCTTTGCAAACAGGTTCTACTGTCCAGTAAGTGGCTAAGAAATTTCATTCATAACTCGAAACAGATAGACTCCAAAATGAGCAATCTATAATTTTAAATGTTGTCATTAGTCTCCTGGCTGCAAGCGGTTAAAGAAGGCCTTGCAAGCTCATGAATTACGGGTACAGTTTATTACTCTGAATGAGCTCACAACAAGCACAGTATCTCAGGAAGATGGGAGGGGAAGGTTTCCAGGCCCAAAAGCTTACATGGAATGCAGCTTAAATGTCACTTATCCAATTGCAGGGGAATGATCCCTTCTACTCCCATGCCCTTCTCCGCTTCCCTCCTTGTACACATGTATTGTTATACACCTTTCCTTAAAATATACATCACACCAGGCTTTGCTCATTAGCCTTAGAGGTTTTTAAGTGTTTACAAGAGAAAAGGTCCTGTGGTCAAAGAATTAAAAACAGGACAGAACACCCATCCAACCTTCACTGCGGAAAATTTTTCCAACAGATTTCTGCCTATCCCAACCCCAAATGCAGGAGATAAAGAAGCACACCCTAAATCAGAGGTTTCTTCTTACAAACACTGGGCCAATGAGAAATCATATTTTGAGCATACATGGCATTCCATGTTGGTCACTCATAGAAGAATGGGGACATTATAACCTTTTGGAGGTTGGGAGGAAACAGGCAGTTCAAGAGATATGCAGAATCCCACATCCACAGGGCCTGAGATACCAACAACACTGGCCGGACAGGACCCCCATTTTCCTAAGGGACAGTGGGTAAAGTACGAGAAAGGATGAAGCAATCATCCTCAAAGCAACCAGGTCAAACTACCAGAAAAAAATGACTCACTGCTAAATATCTTATCTCTTTCACCCACACCCAAGCCCACCCCGCTGAAGTGAGGAAACAGAGGCTGCCTGAGTAGCTTCCGGCCAAATGAGGACCGCTCTGCGAACTGCCACTGAGAACCATCTGTGTGGCGCCCAAACTCTGGTGCAGTGGCTGGAGAAAGGGAACTGAGACACAAGCCACAGGTTTTGGCAGTCTTCTTATTTCCCCCTAACTGGCCTAACTGAGCAGGAAACCAGCAGTTCTCAACGCAGGCCAACTGAGGTTCCAAATCCAACTCTACCTTCTCCAAACTATAAATTCCTTCCTACAGAAAAAGGGATGGCATCTATTTCTGACACAAAGCACAGGAGTCCTGATGAAAAGCTGGGACTCAACAAATGTTTTGGTTCCCTCTGAAACTGCCCCACCACCTCAGTATGCAAGACCTTAACTCATGATCCCAGTCATCCCTTCCTCTACCAAACACACCTCTGTTGTACACACACCTAAAATTTGAGAACCCAATGAAGATTACAAGCTACCTACTGATGCCCTCATCCTTACAAATTAGGTGGTGGCAGCAGGGACAAAAACTACACTCAACGTTCTTTACAAGACTTTGGTCCTTCTCAAAGGAGGCTCCAGAGAACCCTATGTCCAAGGGGTTGTATTCAAAATTAAGGCTCACGGGTCAGTGAAGTTTGACAAATGTCGGGTACAGATAGCCAGGTTTCTTTCCTTCAGATGTGTTCGTGTACACCATGATCCTCTTAGAACCCAAGCACCCCAAAATTATTTCACCACCAAAGCATCCTCTCTGCTCCACCCGCCCCCCACCCCCGCAAATAAAATCATTCTCAGAACACATTTAAGGATACCCAGCACTAACTTCTCTTGTTCTAGTTTGCTAGTGGATTGATTTGGGTCTTTACTGAGAGAAGGGAGTGTTTTTGTAAGTAATACATGTATAAATGTTCACTTTTAAAGATGTAAACTATACTGAGTATGGAGAGTAAAAATATGAAAGTTTATTTTCAGCAGCTCAGGGAAACTGGAAAAGGCAATTATCCTAATCCTCTGAGGTTTCAACCGTACAAATAACAGAAAGTTAACAAAACATAAGAAACTCAAGGAAATTTTTTCTTTTTTTTTTTTTTTGAGATGGAGTCTCACTCTGTTGCCCAGGCTGGAATGCAGTGGCATGATCTCAGCTCACTGCAACCTCTGCCTCCTGGGTTCAAGCAATTCTCCTGCCTCAGCCTCCCGGGTAGCTGGGACTAGAGGCATGCACCACCACACCCAGCTAATTTTTGTATTTTTCCTAGAGGCGGGGTTTCACCATGTTGGCCAGGCTGGTCTCCTGACCTCAGATAATCCATCCGCCTCTGCCTCCCAAAGTGCTGGGATTACAGGCGTGAACCACCGAGCCCGAAAAGATACCCATGGAATTCTGAGTTCTCACTGTAGCAATGAGTGCTCTTGGGAACCTTATCAGAACTGTCATTGCACTAACAACTGCTAATGAAAACTAGCAGTCATTTCTCGCGAAAATATTTTCTTCTCTTTCTAATTTGTTCTCTTTTACTATTTTGCAAGCATAGGAGAGCGGAATCCAGAAGATACTTAATAAAGCAAATTAATCAAATAAAAAGAAATGACTTAAACTACAATTCAAATGCAATTTTGACTGCATTCTGATTACACCATTTTCTATTGCTACATATCAAGAAAAAGTTGGGTAAGCTCCCTAAAATGTCTTGGCTACTATGTTTCTGCTAAAGAGCTCCTAAGAAGAGGAAAGGAAAACATACTACATTTTAAACCTGACTCAATTGTCTTAGATCTACTTGTGCATAGATTTCATTGAATAAATATAAGAGGGCATTAAGAATGTTGTAGTTTCCCAGTCTTTTTTTTTTTCTTTTTCCACTTCCTAAATTTTCTGTACTACACATATGCTGATTTTCAACAGTAAAAATAACATTTTACATTTGTAGAGAAAATCTAGGGTCTACTAAATAATCTAGTACTTGTTTCCACTCTCCTGCTAACTCTGACAGGAGTGTTGTGGGAAACGAAGTCTGAAAAGGATTCAAAGGGGGCTAGGATTTGCCACAGATCCTGTAAAGGAAAGGATGAGGTGAGCTTACCAACCCCACTGAGTAGGGGCCAAACATCCTTAACAAGCTAGTTGCTGGCCAAGCACGGTGGCTCATGCCTGTAAATCCCAGTGCTTTGGGAGGCTGAGGCAGGAGGACTGCTTGAGGCCAGGAGTTCAAGACTAGCCTGGGTAACACAGCGAGATCCCATCCATACAAAAAAACACTTTTAGTTTAAAAAAAAAAAAAAGAGTGCTGTATGTGGAGGTCTGGGAAAGGACCCTGACTTATAAAAACACAACCAGGCCGGGCGGTGGCTCATGCTTGTAATCCCAGGCCGAGGCGGGTAGATCATGAGGTCAGGAGTTCAAGACCAGCCTGGCCAAGACGATAAAACCCCGTCTCTACTAAAAAATACAAAAACTAGCCAGGCGTGGTGGCGGCGCCTATAATCCCAGCTACTCGGGAGGCTGAGGCAGAGAACTGCTCGAACCCAGGAGGTGGTAGTTGCAGTGAGCCAAGATCACACCACTGCACTCCAGCCTGGGCAACAGAGTGAGACTCCTTCTCAAAAAAATTATAATTTAAAAAATAATAATAACCAGATAAGCAGTCAATGAATGACAACTAAAAAGAAATACCTACAAACATCTGGTTGTCACGACACCTATGGAGATGTTTTAGATGACAAGGACAGACTGGAAAGACTGCAGGACTTCTCAGATTCACTGCAGTTACTCAAACTAGGAGGGGACACTCTGAGGATGGAGACAGTCACAGGATGTAAGCAGGAAGCCAAGATAAGGCCACAGGGCCAGCCCTGAGGTGCTATGAATACTGCAGTGGAAACCAAAATGGAAAATGAAATTTAAGAAACAAAACCTTTACAACAGCATCAAAAACCATAAAGTGATCAAGACAGGGGGCTGGGAACACCCAAGATGAGCCTACAACACCTTAATGTGTCTGTCAGGAAGTAAGAGCTCAGAGGACGATGGGGACATGTTACAGGGACACGGGTAGCAGCTTTAAGGCCTCCCAGTATTAGTGTCCTCATTGTTAACTATGGCTTGGGAACAAAATATCCTTAATTTTAGGAAATAGACACTGAAGTATTTGGTGATAAGGGGATATTATATTTGCAACATATTCTCAAATGGTTCAGAATTATAAAAACTATGTGTTGCGGGGAGGATGATGGGGAGGGATAAGGGAGAGAGAATACTGTCACACAAATATGCTATGGTTAACATTTGGGAAAATCTTTGTACTAGGTTTTGCAACTTTTCATTAAAAAACCACTCGTAAAACATAACCACAAACTAAGTAAGAACAAATAAAAAAGTATGAAGGAAGATAAATGCCACCAGGAGCTCTGAGAGATGCAGAGAATATCGTGTTATATTGATTTGCTGCTGCAGTCTTCTCTAGCACAACGTTCAAATACTCCCAAAATGATTCTATTAGAATGCACGCTACAAATGCCCAAGTGCAGCAACTTAGGCTAGGAATTATGCCAAGAATAAAAAAACAATAGCATTTACTTCAAAGAAGTAAAAAATGTTACTGACCAAGGCACTGGTGTTTGATTTTGACTATTTTTAAAGGGAAACATCTTTTCTGGGTTGAGAAGAAGCAAGATCACAAAATAAAGGAGGTTGAAAAAATTACCGAAATACTTTTGTGCACGAGAGTCTAGCCTTACGAAATGGCTGGACAGGTGTAGTCCTTGGTCTTTCTCTGCGTGAGGTATAAAATGGTTTTTAAGTATAAAACCCTGCCAGGCACAGTGGCTCAGGCCTGTAATCCCCGCACATTGGGAGGCCAAGGAGGGTGGATCATGAGGTCAGGAGTTCGAGACCAGCCTGGCCAATATGGTGATGCCCCATCTCTACTAAAATACAAAACTTAGCTGTGCATGGTGGCGCACACCTGTAGTCCCAGCTACTTAGAAGGCTGAGGCAGAAGAATCACTTGAACTCAGGAGGCAGAGGTTGCAGTAAACCGAGGTTGTGCCACTCTACTGCAGCTTAGGTGACAGAGCGAGACTCCGTCTCAAAAATAAATAAATAAATAAATAACCCTAAGTGGCAAAGGGCCTATTCAGTATTGAAACATGTATTTCTGAAACCGGTCTTCATCATACAGCAATCTCCTTCCAATCAAGACTTCCAACAATAAATGCAGTATTCTTTCCATTACATCACAGAGCACCTATGCCAATGCTGAACCACTGTTTTCCGTTGAAATGGCCCTAAAATGCTTTACTCCACAAATCTTATTACCTATATAAATTAACTTCTAATTACTATTAGAAATGACAGGAGCAGTGGCTCACGTCTGTAATCCCAGCACTTTCAGAGGCTGAGGCAGGCGGATCACGAGGTCAGGAGATCAAGACCATCCTGGCTAACACGGTGAAATCCCGTCTCTACTAAAAATACAAAAAATTAGCCGGGCGTGTTGGCGGGCGCCTGTAGTCCCAGCTACTTGGGAGGCTGAGGCAGGAGAATGGCGTGAACCCAGGAAGCGGAGCTTGCAGTGAGCCAAGATGGCGTCACTGCACTCCAGCCTGGGCGACAGAGCAAGACTCCGTCTCAAAAAAAAAAAAAAAAGAAAGAAAAAAAAAAGAAATGACACATCTGGTCACACAAATGGTCTGCATGAAGTAATAAGATGGTTCTATACCAGGCAAAGACCTTGCTAGGCAGTTTCTAATCGCTCTCAGGTTATCTAAATTCTTGAATTTGGATTTATAGGTTTCCTTTTTCAAGAAATTATTAATCCACCAAAAAAGAAAAAGTTATCTCAATTCATTACACTCTCTTCCTAAAACAGCTTCTGCTCCAGGATGCCTGCTCTGTCCCAAGTTCCCAGATATCTTCCAGGAGACAAAGTCCTTCCCTTGTATCACTCACTATATGCAAAACTTGGGTTGAGGCCCTCACACTAAAGTCACACGACATCAGGGATACGCGCCACCCCAGCTTTAAGTGTACAATGTATTGGTTCTACAATTCATTGGTTCTTGACTCCCGACAGAGCAAGTTCTACCTCTCCAGCCTCATCTCCCTTCCATGTCCTGCATCAACCTCCCCACTCCAGCAAATCTGTATGTGATGCACACGCACACACAACACTGCACTGGGCCCTGCACTTTCACTCCTCCTCACTTGCTAGGGTAAGCAGGTTTTCACTCTGCTTCTCTAACCTTGTGACCTGTTACCTAATTTCTTCTCATCCTTTAAAAGGCACTGCAATGGCTCATGCCTGAATCCCAGCACTTTGGGAGGCCAAGGTGGGCGGATCACGAGGCCAGGAGATCGAGACCATCCTGGCTAACACGGTGAAACCCTATCTCTACTAAAAATACAAAAAATTAGCCGGGTGTGCTGGCACGCACCTATAGTCCCAGCTGCTCGGGAGGCTGAGGCAGAAGAATCGCTTGAACCCGGGAGGTGGAGGCTGCAGTGAGCCAAGATCACACCATTGCACTCCAGCCAGCCTGGCAACAGAGCAAGACTCCATCTCAAAAAAAGAAAAAAAGGGCACTCCCTTCCCTCTGGGGTGCACCTAACCTAAAGTGGTTGGCCTTCCTTTTCCTGGAAGCTTTCAAAAGGGTCTGTGCAAGTCCCTCACTTCACTGACCATACTATAAGGGGCAGCTGTTGCCTATTATTGGAAGTAGAAGTCCTGACTACTGCAACTTGGCATAGGAGTCACAAAGGAAAATGGCAATGTCAAACACTGGATCAAACAATGCTTTACTCACACAGAAAAGAGATAGAGAAAGATCAACTTCCGGAGCAGGCATTGGTGCCCTGTGACCAGCAGGTCCCTCCTGGCAGCCAATGCCAGGCCACTGGCCTGCATGCAACCCTTTTGTGTTCAGAGGACAAATATAGCAGAGGAGTTGGCCAGATGCTATGACATACCCACTTAAGCAGAACAACAAAAGAGCACAAATTGATTCTGAAACAGGGAGACACATTCCCACAGAAAGTGAGAAATCCGGCACAGGCTGTGAGGACTCTTCATCTTCTGGTAAGGAAGCATCCAGTCTCAAGGACCATTCTTAGGAGGTCAAGAGAGGTCAAGTCTGCCTGTATGACACTGCCTAATACCAATGATCAGTTTGTATACCTGTCTCCCTGGCTAGGAACAACCTTCTGAAAAATTCTAAGAACTCAGTGTTTACTAAATAAATAGAAATACATTTAACAAGGCCTTATCACAAACATTTACAACATCCGTTCAAAAATTCTGCCCACTAATTCCTTCATCTGTCCCTTCAAAGAGCTAGCAGGTTTTTTGGGTTTTTGTTGAGATGGAATCTTGCTCTATCACCCAGGCTGGAGGGCAGTGGCACCATCTCAGCTCACCGCAAGCTCCACTTCCTGGATTCAAGCTATTCTCCTGCCACAGCCTCCCCAATAGCTGGGATTACAGGTGCCCACCACCACGCCAGGCTAATAAGGGCCTGTGCAAATCCCTCAGTTCACTGACCATACTGTAAGTGGCAGGTGCTGCCTATTATTGGAAGTAGAGGTCCTGACTACTGCAACTTGGCATAAGCGTCACACAGGAACATGGCAAAGTCAAGCACTGGATCAAACAATGCTTTACTCACACAGAGAAGAGACAGACAAAGATCAACTTCCCAAGCAGGCACTGGTGCCCTGTAAAACTTTTTATAGTTGCATTTACACATAAGTCTTTCTAAAGGTGTCCTGCCTTTAGTTCAAACTAAAAAAATATTACAACTTAGGCTGGGCATGGTGGCTCATGCCTCTTGTAATCTCAGCAATTTGGAAGGTGGAGGCAGGAGGATCGCCTGAGGCCAAGAGTTCAATACCAGATTAGACAACATAGGAAGATCTCGTGTCTACAAAAAATAAAATAAAATTAGCTGGGAATGGTGGCGCACACCAATGGTTCCAGCCACTCAGGATGCTGAAGTGGACGATCACTTAACCCCGGGAAGCAAAGGTTGCAGTGAGCCAAGATTGTGCTACTGCATTCCAGCCTGGGTGACAAGAGTGAGACTCGTCTCAAAACATAAACAAATACATAATATTACAACTTAAACTTTCTTAAACTAAAATTAGCTCTGGTTCCATTTTTAATATTTAAATGTTACAGTGGGCCCTGGGGTGCTCTCTGAGCCTCACCGGGACTCAGGAGTGTTACATTTCTGGCAAATCATTTGTCAAAATACAACAGAAGACTTTAAGATGTCTATTTCCATTGACCCAGAGATTCCATATTTGATAATCCATCCTAAGAAAACACAAATCTTTAAACATTGTGTAATAGTTAAAGAAAACTGCAGTTGTACATTCACTGTATAGAAAATTACATACCTGTTAAAATTGCTATTATGGAAAAAAAGGACACAGAAATCAAATAAAAAGCTTCAGCTGGGCGCGGTGTCTCACGCCTGTAATCCCAGCTCTTTGGGAGGCTGAGGCGGGCGGATCACGAGGTCAGGAGATCGAAACCATCCTGGCTAACACAGTGAAACCCCGTCTCTACTAAAAATACAAAAAAAAAAATTAGCCGGGCGAGGTGGCGGGCGTCTGTGGTCCCAGCTACTCGGGAGGCTGAGGCAGGAGAATGGCGTGAACCCGGGAGGCGAAGCTTGCAGTGAGCCGAGATGGCGCCACTGCATTCCAGCTTGGGCGACAGAGCAAGACTCAAAAAAAAAGCCTAATCACACAGACCTACAACATCCATTATGAAACCTAAATCGAAGGGCATTTGTTTCAGAAAAGATGGCAATGAGAGAGGTTTCAAAAAATTTGTTATTATGGAACATATGTAATAACATAAGAAAATGCTATGACACTGTCCAGTAAAAAAATAGAAAAACAAAAATTGTATATACAGTAGGAGTACAAAAATATTTGAATGGAAGGAAAGAACAACTATAAAAAAATTACAGCAAAATATTTACAACATTTGTGTGGGGTAGTGGAACAAGGGATTAACTTCTTTTCTCCATTTCTGTGGTTTCTGTGTTACTTCTAGAGAAAACAACATTTTAGAATATGCATGTAGGCACCGTGCAAGAGACGGTGTCCCACCACTACTGGGCTGGAAGGGTCTGGCTGCGCATCCCACACACTGCTCCTGAATGCAGCGATTCTGGCCTAGCAGGATCCCTGCAGCATCCCTTCACTGCAGGGCCAAGGCTCCTCCTCTCATCCAAGAAACTCCCCTTCTTCATTTAAGCGCTCCTTCAAGCCTGACGCAGGCTGAGAAACCAGATTAGTTAGGTCACTGAGAACAGGAGGGGAAAACAGATTGTGCCCCTAACAACTTCACTTCACTGTAATAGCAAGCTATACCATGTGTGAAAAGTGAGGGATTTTTTTGTTAGGTCCATAACTTCAGGAAGATGAGTAAAGGAGCATTTTTAAACTAAGAGGAGATGATAAACACATTCACCAAGATGGTTTTCATTAACTATACACTTCTTCTCATGTGAATTTTTATTTTTTTGAGACAGGGTCTCGCTCTATTACCCAGGCTGGAATGAAATGGTGCAATCACGGCTCACAACAGCCTTGAACTCCTGGGCTCAAGCAATCTCCCACCGCAACGTCCTGAGTAACTGAGACTACAAGCATGCACCGCCACGGCTGATTAATTTTTTTTAATTTTTGGTGGAGACACAGTTTTGCTATGTTGTCCAGGCTGGTCTCAAACTCCTGAGTTCAAATGATCTCGCACTGCCTCAGCCTCCCAAAGGGCTGGGCTTACACACAGCACCTGGCCTCGTGAATTTTCAAAATATTTTTAAACATCCAAAAACTAGGCCAGGCTCAGTGCCTCACGCCTGTAATCCCAGCACTCTGGGAGGCCGAGGCAGGCGGATCACGAGGTCAGCAGATCGAGACCATACTGGCTAACATGGTGAAACCTCATCTCTACTAAAAATACAAAAAAAATTAACTGGGCGTGGCGGTGGGCGCCTGTAGTCCCAGCTACTCAGGAGGCTGAGGCAGGAGAATGGCATGAACCCGGGAGGTGGAGCTTGCAGTGAGCCAAGATTGTGCCACTGCACTCCAGCCTGGGTGACAGCGCAAGGCACTGTCTTGGGGGGGAAAAAAACATCCAAAAACTATTCAGCAACCCTTCATCACATGAGATTGATTCTGGCCAAATACTAACCCTACAAACTGTGTACAGAAAGCAGTCAGGCTGACAATACCAAGCTGTCAAGGATGTGGAACAACTGGAACACTTGCAAAATGGTTCAAGGACATTGGAGAAGTGTGGCAGTTTCTTATAATCCTCAACAAAGACTACTTTATGGCCCAGCAATTACACACCTAAGTATTTACCCACAAGAAAGGAAAACATGACTACAAAGAGTCTTGAACACTAATGTTCACAGCAATAACAGCCAAAAATGGGAAACAATCTAAAGTTTATCAGCCAGCACATCAATAAATTGTGGTATGTCCATACGATGAAGTATTATTTGGCAATGAAATGAAATGAACTGATAAATACAACAACATGAATAATCTGAGACCATTATGCTGAAAATAATGGACAAGCTATAGTGACAGATATCAAAACAGTGGCTGGGAGGGGATGAGGAAACACATTTGGAGTAATGAAAATATTCTCTATTTCAATTGGGTGGTGATTACATAGGTATGTATAATTAACAAAACTGTATGCTTGAAATGGGTGCATTTGACTGTCAATTATACAGCAATAGAAGCTCACTAATTTGTCTGAGAAAAATTTAAAATCTTCTCCCTCCTTCTTTCCATGAAGACAAGTGGTTTAGTGACTTGTACATTCCACAATTTTGCCAAGTGCAATACACAGTGCTTCTTGTCCCAATTATATCATGTTTTTTATTTTTGTTTTTTTGAGACAGAGTCTCACTCTCTCACCCAGGCTGGAGTGCAGTGGCACCATCTCAGCTTACTGCAACCTCCGCCTCCTGGGTTCAAGTGATTCTCCTGCCTCAGCCTCCTGAACAGCTGGGATTACAGGAATACACCACCACGCCCGTGTGTATTTTTAGTAGAGACAGGGTTTTACCTTGTTGACAAAGCTGGTCTCAAACTCCTGACCTCAAGTGACCCACCTCATCCTCCCAAAGTGCTGGGATTACAGATGTGACTCACTGCGCCCGGCCTTAAAACATGGTTTTTTTTTTTTACAATTTAAAGAGTAAGAAGGGGCTGGGCAGTGGCTCATGCCTGTAATCCCAGCACTTTAAGAGGCCGAAGCGGGAGGATTGCTTGAGCCCAGGAGTTTGAGACCAGCCTGGGCAACACAGCAAGACCTGTCTCTATTTTAATATAATAGTAACAAACGATTTAAAAAATAGAAGAATTGGCTTTATGTAACAAAATAAAAGATTTTCTTTTTAGACAGTTACCCACAAAAGAAGGACACCAGACTACTGCTGACAGTGTTCTGCATGCACCATTCTTAACTATTTTTCATTATTCTTTTTTATTTATTTATTTTGCTCTCGCCCTGCCTTATGGTGCTGACTCTTCATTATTCTTGTGTCCCTCGATGCTTCCCTTGGACTTACCCTTCTGCTGGAGGAAATCATATTCACTTCTTCAAGCCCCAGCTCAAGTGCCACCTCGTTGGATTAACTGTTAACGGGGTTTCACCAACCCCAATCAAGATCATTCATTTGTCTGTGCTGTCCCCAGTGGTGACACTTCTCCTCCCTCCGTGGCTTGGACAACCACCCCTGCTCCTTGCCCCCAGTCCCTCAGTCTGAGCTCCACTATCCACTGCTCACTAACGAGAGAAGCTGACTCATCTCCGGCTTGGGTACCAGAGCTTACTAGCTGCTTTAAGGGTAGACCCTTCTTCACCTCGCCAGGAGGCAAAATCCAAGTAAGATTCACCATTGTAACCCCACAGGGCCTAGTTATGCCCTACAATAAGATCTCCTTTAACTGTAGAGAGAAGAAAAAGACTTCAATAGAAGCTCAAAGGGGTCTTAGGAGGGAACTCCCTCATTTTTGCAAAGGATCAAGCTGAGGCCTGAATAAAGTACACACTGATATAATACATGTGAAACATACTGGCCACTTACTATGTGTGAGCCACTGAGAAACAATCAGACTATCTTCATATAAACTATAAACAGCTAACATATAAAATCCCACCCTTGTGGATCTTATATTCCACTGCAAAGATTCAGACAAACAAGTAATAACGTTGGGCACTCGCTTGATATAGTTCAGATATTTGTCCCCACTCAAATTTCATGTTGAAATGTAATGTCCAGTGTTGGGGGACAGGGCCTGGCAGGAAGTGTCTGGGTCATAGGGGTGGATCCCTCATGGCTTGGTGCTGTCCTAGCAATCGTGAATGAGAGTTCTTGTGATATCTGGGTGTTTAAAAATTGTGTGGCATCTCCCCTTTTCTCCAACCCCCACCTCCTGACCATGTGAGGTGCCTGCTCCCACCCCTCCCACCTTCTGCCATGAGCAAAAACTCCCAGAGGCTTCCCCAGAAGCTAAGCAGCCATGTTTTGTGTACAGCCTGCAAACTAAGAGCCAATTAAACCTCTTTTCTTTATAAATTACCCAATCTGAGGTATTCCTTAGAGCAATCCAAGAATGGCCTAATATGCCACCATACCACCAATGTGCCTTCCCCTTTGCCGTGGTGGTCACTCTTTGGGACTGTCACACCTCCTGAGCTTTTCTCACAAGCTTTGTTCCATCTGCCTCAACTGCTATTTGTGTCATCCAAGATACAAGTATTCAAAGGCTGCCTGTGACACTGTGCTAGGTACTGGCAGATCAACGGTAAATGGGGCAGAAACAGTCACCACACCCCGAAAGCTCACAGAGCTCACAAATGGGGAAGTGGGTATTATACAATGCTTTTCATAAATGTCCATGATTCAAAGTGCTGAAATGAGTAGAGGGTGCAGCTATGGGCATGTTTAACATGGGCTCCTAACCTAGACATGTCTCCTCGAGGAAATGACACCGAAGCTAAGGCCAAGGTAAGACTCCCCTGACAACAGTGGGATAGCTCCAGACAAAGGCAGCAACTGCAGGAAGAAGGAAAAGAGATTCTCAGAGGTTCTGAAGTCTGTGAACTTGAATAGGGAAACAGTCCCATATTCACTTTCACCAATCTCTTGCTGAAATGTAACATTCCCTTATATTTTGAATATACGCCACACACCAAAAATGTAATTCTGTGTGAGTTTGGTATCAACACAAAAAATTGCAAATACTCTTATACTGATTTACAGTGGTTGCAGATTATCTTGAAATAACATCATTATTTTAAAATTACAATAATTAGACCCACTATGAGGACTTGTTATTCAACAAAGGACAAAGAAACATATTACCATATCACAAATTTGTTCTTTATCATTTTGATGGCTATATTTCAATGTCATGGGTCCCCTCTGTAATCCTGGGTATTTTACTTAAAAAAGTATTTGGAAATATTTTAAGAAGGGGTCACACATTTCACCCGATTGCAAAAGCACTTTTAGGAAAAAGAACCTATGATTAGAGAACAAGGAAAGAAAGGATCAAGAGGGGTTTTTTTGTTTGTTTGTTTGTTTGTGTTTTCTTTTTTTTTGAGATGAGAGTTTCACTCTTGTTGCCCAGGCTGGAGTTCAATGACGCCATCTGGGCTGACCGCAACCTCCGCCTCCCAGGTTCAAGCCTCAGGTTCAAGATTATCCTGCCTCAGCCTCCGGAGTAGCTGGGATTACAGGCGCCTGCCACCACAGCCAGCTAATTTTGTATTTATTATTTTTCTGACAATGGGAAAGAGGCAGCAGTTGTAATATGGATGGCTGTTATTCCTATTACCTTCTATTAAGAGGCGCTTTTTTTTTTTTTGAGATGGAGTCTCGCTCTGTCGCCCAGGCTGGAGTGCAGTGGCATGGTCTCGGCTCACTGCAAGCTCTGCCTCCCGGGTTCACGCCATTCTCCTGCCTCAGCCTCCCAAGTAGCTGGGACTACAGGCGCCTGCCACCACACCCAGCTAATTTTTTTTGTATTTTTATTAGAGACGGGGTTTCACCGTGTTAGCCAGGATGCTCTCGATCTCCTGACCTCGTGATCCGCCCGTCTCGGCCTCCCAAAGTGCTGGGAATACAGGCGTGAGCCACCACGCTCTGCCAGCAAAATTTCAATCGAAACACTGCAATGAGCCGGGCACTGTACCTCATGCCTGTAATCCCAGCACTTTGGGAGGCCAAGGCGGGTGGATCATGAGGTCAGGAGTTCAAGAACAGCCCGGTCAACATGGTGAAACCCCGTCTCTAGTAAAAATACAAAAATTAGCCGGGTGTGGTGGTGGGCACCTGTAATCCCAGCTACTCGGGCGGCTGAGGCAGAGAATCATTTGAATCCGGGAAGCAGAGGTTGCAGTGAGCCGAGATCACACCACTGCACTCCAACTCGGGTGACAAAGTGAGACTTCATCTCAAAAAAAAAAAAAAAGAATTCTTCCAATTATAAAATTAGATTGCTATTCTAACTCACATTCTATTATTGAAGTCTCACATTTTCAAAGAAAGCATTTCTGTTGTTTGTACTTGTTAACTTACTTAGCCACTCACCCAAAGGAGAGTCAAGCAATTGGCTTGTAGATGGCGCTACTGCACTCCAGCCTGGGAGACAGAGTGAGACTCAGGAAACAAACAAACAAGAAAAAGGAAACACTGCACTGAAAGGAAAAACTTCAAACTTCATATAACCAAGTTACAAAGAATAATCCCACTGCTCATAGTTATACATCAGAAATTGCAGGTTGTTGAGTCAACCACTGTCAACCTGCTGCTCTTTCATCAAGTGGGCTTTAAAATACAAGTGTGATACATAATGCATGTTTTATGCCAGCAAAATTCCTTTATACAAGATTCCAAAGGCTCTCCAAATTCTTTTATTGCAAGATGAATTTTTTTAAAAGGATGCATGGCTAGAAATCACACTTACTGTATGCAATGTGGAATGACTTACGAGATGCTGCCTTCTTTTCTAGAATTGTTATCCTCTAACCTCGTTTATTGGGGAACATGTTAGAGAACTAGAAAAGGTCTCAGGAATAAAAAGCAATTTCAAAGTCCACGCATGAAAGCAATGATACCCTCTATCTGGGTTTAACTTTACCTCATGTTATATATATATATATGTATTTTTTTCCTTATTTGTCATTTTTAAGTCATTCTATGACCAGATGTTTAACTTTACTTCACAAAGTAATAACCTAGTTAACTGACTTCCCATATTGTAATTAATTGCATAATGAAAATATACTTAAAGTACACTGACGGCTGGGCGCGGTGGCTCACGCCTGTAATCCCAGCACTTTAGGAGGCCGAGGCAGGCGGATCACCTGAGGTTAGCAGTTGGAGACCAGCCTGGCCAACATGGTAAAACCCAGTCTCTACTAAAACAAACAAACAAAAAATACAAAAATTAGCTGGGCGTGGTGGCAGGTGCCTGTAATCCCAGCTACTCAGGAGGCTGAGGCAAGAGAATCGCTTGAACCCCAGAGGCGGAGGTTGCAGTGAGCCAAGATCGTGCCATTGCACTCCAGTCTGGAGAACAAGAGCAAGACTTCCTTTCAAAAAAAAAAAAAAAAAAAAACCCAGAAAGACTCACATTAATGCAAAAGTTCAATTCAATGCAATTGTTCTGAAATGTTTTCAAAGCAGTTACATCATTTAAAAGAAATTTCATGAATGCTAAATATGTACAACAGATGAGAGCAAGCAGTGACTGCAATCCAGGTGAGGGGCGCAGAGCCAGTTCTTAGGGTGACTCTACCAGACCCAACTAAAGCTGTTTGTTGAAGGGCAAGCTCCTAGCTTTATGTTTGCTGCCTTTCAAAAGTAAACACAATAGCATAATGGATGTTAACTCTTTTTCAACCTTATTTTGTCCTTTCTTATGAAGGATTATAAAACAGCCAGGCACAGTGGCTCACACCTGTAATCCCAGCACTTTGGGAGGCTGAGGTGGGTGGATCACCTGAAGTCAGGAGTTCAAGACCAGCCTCGCCAATATGGTAAAACCCCGTCTCTACTAAAAATACAAAAATTAGCCAAGCGTGTTGGCAGGCGCCTGTAATCCCAGCTACTTGGGAGGCTGAGGCAGGAGAATCGCTGGAACCCGGAATCGCGCCATTACACTCCAGCCTGGGAAACAAGAGCAAGACTTCGTCTCAAAAAAAAAAAAAAAAGGATTATAAAACTAAAAGGGAATTTACCTAGATTTTTATTTAAGTGGATCCTGAGTCTGGGAACTCTGGAGTATAGCCCAGAGCTGTTTCCTATATATCCATGGGATGTATGAAAACATTATTTAACACAGAATACTGATGGACATAACAATCAATGTATGCCAAGACTTGAAAAATTACACCATTTGGGACTTCAACAGGAATAAACCCTAAGACATCCATAATATGTGGCTGAAAGAAGAAATCATTTTTGAGGATTCCAGAGAAGTAAATTCCATATCAATTTAGTGGGTAGGGTGATGGGAGAGTGCAAGCTGGAGGGTGGTGTTTAGCTCAATGGGAGGTAATAAAAAGAAAGATAATTTCTCAGAACATTTTCGTATTCTTGGCGTCACAGAAGCATTCCTAAGCAAAGACATAAAACCCATAAAAGAAAACCAAACTGAACTACAGAAAAATTTAAAACTTCTATGAAAGAAAAAACACTATAAACATACTTAAAGGAGGCTGGATGCAGTGGCTCACGCCTGTAATCCCAGCACTTTGAGAGGCTGAGGCTGGCAGATTATGAGGTCAGGAGATGGAGACCATCCTGGCTAACATGGTGAAACCCCATCTCTACTAAAAATTCAAAAAAAATTAGCCGGGCATGGTGGCAGGCGCCTGTAGTCCCAGCTACTCAGGAAGCTGAGGCAGGAGAATGGCATGAACCCAGGAGGTGGAGCTTGCAGTGAGCCGTGATCGCGCTACTGCACTCCAGCCTGGGCAACAGAGTGACACTCCATCTCAAAAAAAAAAAAAAAAAATACTTAAAGGACAATGGACAGACTAGAAGAAAATATTTGCAACATATTTAATAAATATCAGAATGGCCGGGCACGGTGGCTCACGCCTGTAATCCCAGCACTTTGGGAGGCCCAGGCGGGCGGAGCACAAGGTCGGCAGATCGAGACCGTCCTGGCTAACACGGTGAAATCCCGTCTCTAATAAAAATACAAGAAAATTAGCCGGGCGTAGCTGGTGCATGCCTGTAGTCCCAGCTACTCGGGAGGCTGAGGCAGGAGAATGGCATGAACCCAGGAGGTGGAGCTTGCAGTAAGCCGCGATCACGCTATTGTGCTCCAGCCTGAGCCACAGAGTGAGACTCCATCTCAAAAAAAAAAAAAAAAATACTTAAAGGACAAAGGACAGACTAGGAGACAATATTTGCGACATATTCAATAAATACCAGAACGGCCGGGCGCAGTGGCTCACACCTGTAATCCCAGCACTTTGGGAGGCCAAGGTGGGCAGATCACAAGGTCGGCAGATCGAGACCGTCCTGGCTAACACGGTGAAACCCCGTCTCTAATAAAAATACAAAAAATTAGCCGGGCGTGGTGGCGGGCGCCTGTAGTCCCAGCTACTCGGGAGGCTGAGGCAGGAGAATGGCAAGAACCCGGGAGGCAGAGCTTACAGTGAGCCAAGATCGCGCCACTACACTCCAGCCTGGGCAACAGAGTGAGACTCCGTCTCAAAAAAAATAAAAAAAATAAAAAAATAGATAGATAGATAGATTTCAGGAACATGAAGTGCTCTGACAAAAAGTCATAAGAAAAAGACCAACAATCAGACCGGGCGGGGTGGCTCACGCCTGTAATCCCAGCACTTTGGGAGGCCGAGGTGGACCGATCACTTGAGGTCGGGAGTTCAAAACCAGCCTGACCAACATGGAGAAACCCTGTCTCTACTAAAAATACAAAATTAGCTGAGCATGGTGGCGCATGCCTGTAATCTCAGCTACTTGGGAGGCTGAGGCAGGAGAATAGGAACCCAGGAGGTGGAGGTTGCGGTGAGCTGAGATCTCGCCATTGCACTTCAGCCTGGGCAACAAGAGCGAAACTGAGGAAAGAAAAGAGAAGAGAAGAGGAAGAAAGAGAGGAGAGGGGGAGAGACAAAAGAGAAAGAGAGAAAGACAAAGACAGAGAGAGAAAGAGAGAGAACAAAAGAGAGAGAGAAAGAAACCAACAACCCAATATAATAGTGGATAAAAGTTATGAAGAAAAAAAATATGGACAGCTGACAGACCAACGAAAAAGGCTGAGAACAGAGAAATGCAAATTAAGACAATGATGAGTGATATTTATTAGCAAAAACCAAAGAAGCTGTATAATGCTAAGTGTTGGCAAGAAGGGAGGAAAATAAAGACTCTCATATGCTGTTAGTGGGTGTGTAGATTGGCTGAAGGTTTTCGGAAGGAAAAAATTTCTTCCTACTCTAAAACAGCACATGACAGGCGCTGTGGCTCACGCCTGTAATCTCAGCACTTTGGGATGCCAAGGTGGGCGGATCACCTGAGACCAGGAGTTCAAGACCAGCCTGGGCAACATGGTGAAACCTGGTCTCTACTTAAAATACAGAAATTGGTCGAGCATGATGGTGCACTGCACACCTGTAGTCCCAGCTACCACACAAGAATGGTCTGAACTCGGGAGGCAAAGGTTACAGTTCGCTGAGATCATGCCACTGCACTCCAGCCTTGGCAACTGAGCAAGACTCTGTCTCAAACACACACACACACACACACACACACACACACACACACACAGAGCACATACCCTGGACCCTGCACTTCCAATTCAATCATATGCTAATATTACCATATGTTTGAAAGGTGTATGGACAGAAATGTTTTAAAGCAAACAAAACAGCATGAACAACCTAAAGGTCTACTGAGTGCCTCCTAAATGCCAAGGACTCTTCTAGGAAGAAAGTCATCAGAAGGAAGTGGCTAAATAAACTACAGTACACTAGTCCTATCAGCTACTTGCAGCATGAAATAGAATGGCATGGAAAGATCTTTGAGATATTGTTACGTGAGAAAAAGCTAAATCACAGGCCATAACCTTACATTCCATTTATATAAATAGGCCCCAAGTGAAGTGGGGGGCCCCCCACGCGGGGAACCCATCTGTATGTTTACATAAACATGCATGTATGCAGGTAAATACACAGAAAGGCTAGAAGGATGTGCAAACCACTGATGGCTTACTTTTGAGGAAGGCAGTACAATAGGAGATAAGGGGACTTCAGATTTTGCTCTGAACATTTCTGAAACTGATCTTGAATGTTGTTTGTGAATTCACACATACCACAATGTATTCACGTTCTTTTGCTCTTGGACAAAGTTATTATCTTAATAGCATCACATGAATTAAACTGCAGTAAAGAGTGAGACACAGCCAGTGTGGGTCAAATCCAAAATGACTTCGTAGTTCACCTAGCCAAACCAGTTCCTTATTAGAATAAAAGGGTTGCAACCAGCATGCCCTCCAAGTGGTATATGCGCACTGACTGGAAGCTGCATCTCACATGCGTATTGGGCTCTCCCACGCTTATACACACCAAACACTGACACACTGAAACTTTCTAACATACCTGCAAACCTGTCAAATACCAGCTAATGCATGAAAACTCCCAGTTATCACTCATATGACGGCACGGTGTGATACCTGCTTGGATTTCCTAGCTAGTAATAACGCAAGCGTATTTTGCAGCATAAGACAAAAATCACAAAAAGGCAAAAATCACATGTTAAGGGGCTGGCCAGGCACGGTGGCTCATGCCTGTAATTCCAGCACTTTGGGAGGTCAAGGCAGGAGGATAACCTGAGGTCAGGAATTCAAGACCAGCCTGGCCAACATGGTGAAACCCCATCTGTAATGAAAATACAAAAATTAGCCAGGGGTGGTGGCTCATTCTTGTAATCCCAGCTATTCGGGAGGTTGAGGCAGGAGAACTGCTTGAACTCAGGAGGCAGAGGCTGCAGTGAGCCTAGATCACATCGCTGCACTCCAGCCTGGGCAACAGAGCGAGACTCCATCTCAAAAAAAAAAAAAAAAAGCAGGGTGTGGGGATAAGGCTTTACCTTTACTTAGCATTTTGTGGTTAACAAGAAACTGTACTACTGAATTAACTGCCTCAACATGGATTCAAACACCCTATTTTAAGATTACTACCAACAATAACTCCACATAAAGAATGTAAAAGGCTGGATCTTTGTTCCTTTCACTGACATCTTAGCTGAATCTTTATGATCTTTTTTAATGCAGGAGGAGGAAGGAACACGGAAGAAAATTACAGGAACAAGAATATCCAAAACTTAATTTTTTTCTAAATTGGAAGGGAAAAAACCGAGAAACTAATTTCTCAACTTGGCCCTGCTTTAGTTTAACTCGAACGAATTTAGAGAAGCAACATTACTACATCTGAAAGAGAGCCAACATTTACTTTGGCAGAAAAAAACCCAAGTCACTGAAGTTTTTTTTTATTACTACTGAAGTGCTGCAGCAGGAGCAACAGCATGTTTATTTTACCCTTTTTTAATGGATAACCAAGAGCACTATTTCAAAATTTCCAAAGTCACGGATTTGACAGAAGAAAGTAGACAATGGGTAATATACATACATACGACCAGGTGTTAATTTTTCAGTCTAGGTGGTAAGTGCCCCAGATGTTCATGCTATTCCTTCAACTTCCCTAGACATGAAATTTCCCGAAATATAAAGTCAGTGAGGGAAGGGGATTTAATCAAATTCATCCAGATGATCTGCAAGTTAATATGGAATGCAAAATTAGGATAACAACCAATACTTACTGATTGCCTCCTAAGTGCCAGGAGACTGATTTAATGAAGGGTCTTAGGTAATGCTTAAGAGTTTAGATTTTATCCCATAGACGATAGGGGCTAATGAGAACCTGAGCAGGAAAGTAACTGTTTTTCAAAGAAAGAAAACTATGACAACAGTAGGGAGATTAGAGGGTAGTGCCTCATCAACTCTGACAAATTAACACAAGTACAAATTAATAATGGTGTACATGAATGAAGTACAAGAAAGTTGTGCTGGGAAAGCTAAGGGAAGTGACAGTAAGATTTTAATGCAAGTGGTGTTAATCAGGCAAGTACTTATGGAAGTAAAGGCTTTTATAAATTAGCAAGAAGGGAGATAAAGAGTAATACACCTGGGCACATACTTCCACGACCCCAGAGGCCAGGGAATCACTGGAACTAAGCAGTAAGCCGTGCCATGGGGCTAAACATGTAAATCCATACACATATGAAAAGTCAGGCTCACAAAACTTACCCACCGCCAACAAAATCAAACTAGTGGGCATACATATCACCTGGGACACAGACATTGCAGATAGGAGTGACGTGCTCCAACCATTTCAGAAAACAGTATTTCACTAATGTTGAAAATACACACAACCTTCGACCAATTTAAATCCTAGCTGTGAGTCAGAATACACAAAACTAAGGGTCACAACCACACTGTATTTAGTGGTGAAAACAAAAGGCAATTTATTGTCCATATATATGAATATATGTATATATGAATTTTGTTATACAATAGCTGGACAATTTATCTTTTTTTTTTTTTGGAGACACAGTTTCATTCTGCCTCCCAGGCTGAAGTGCAGTGGTGCGATCTTGGCTCACTGCAACCTCCACCTCCCAGGTTCAAGTGATTCTCATGCCTCAACCTGAGCTTGAGATTCTCATGCCTCAACCTCAAGCTGAGATTACAGGTGTATGCCACCACACCCAGCTAATTTTTGTATTTTTAGTAGAGACAGGGTTTCGCCTTGTTGGCCAGGCTAATCTCGAACGCCTGACCTCAAGTGATCTGCCCGCCTCAGCCTCTCAAAGTGCTGGGATTACACGTGTGGGCCACCATGCCCAGCCCGGCTGGACAATTTCCACCCAAACCAGTCCTCCAATCAATTCCTCTCGCAGCAGGTATGGCAGATATGAGACTGGCAGGGATGGGGGAGCATGTCCCCCCAGACCCTTCCTCTGCTGAGCTGTACCAGCCAGCTACACTATTTTCACCAGCCAGCTACACTATTACAGAGCTCACCTTTCTTTTTTTATTTTTTATTTTTTGAGACGGAGTCTTGCTCTGTTGCCCAGGCTGGAGTGCAGTGGCGCGATCTCGGCTCACTGCAAGCTCCGCCTCCCGGGTTCACGCCATTCTCCTGCCTCAGCTTCCCGAGTAGCTGGGATTACAGGCATGAGCCATCACGCCCAGCTAATTTTTTGTATTTTTAGTAGAGACGGGGTTTCACCGTGTTAGCCAGCATGGTCTCAATCTCCTGACCTCGTGATCCACCCGCCTCAGCCTCCCAAAGTGCTGGGATTACAGGCATGAGGTACAGTGCCTGGCTCATTGCAGTGTTTCGATTGAAATTTTGCTGGCAGAGCCACGGCGCCCAGCTCACCTTTCTTTCTTTAACTTTTGAGACAGGGTCTCACTCTGTTGCCCAGACTGGAGTGCAGTGGCACAATCTCAGCTCACCGCAACCTCCACCTCCTGGGTTCAAGCTTCAGCCTGGGATTCTCCTGCTTCAGCCTGGGATTACAGGCATGCTAATTTTTGTATTTTTAGTAGAGACAGGGTTTCACCATGTTGGCCAGGCTGATCTCAAACTCCTGATCTGAAATGATCCACCCACCTCGGCCTCCCAAAGTGCTGGGATTACAGGCATGAACCACTGCGCCCAACCAGAGTTCACCTTTTTTATGGGGTTTTTCCCTTACACTGTTTACAGCATACTCCAACAGTGTGTTCTCTCTCCAAAAAAAAGGATTTCTTTTGCTTTCTCTCCATCTATCCATCTTTCTTTGCCAACTTTCTCTTGAACTTGCCTTTTGCAACTACATGGAATCCTTGACTGTTTTTTTTTTTTTTTTGCAGACTTGGCTATCTATTAGTAAGTTACGACAAATAGAAAGCTGTTCTCTGTTGTCTTTCATAACTACTTTTAAACAGGTGAATCAATCTAATGCTTCAGTAACAGCTACTGAATTAACAAAAGTCCCATTTTACGTTTAGTCATTTTCAACAGGTACCTTAAAATGCAAAATAAAGACTGTCGGACCTTTGTTTCAGTTTAACTACTAGCTCTCTTCCTGACAAAGAGACTGGCCTACAACCCTGAGAAACCTTACCCAGGATAGAGACAGAGATACCAGAGCCAAAATCTCTCATCTGTATAACTTGGGGTACAGGGGTATCATGCCATTATTAAAATCAGAACAATTAAGGCCAAGAGCACGGTGGCTCATGCCTGTAATCCCAGCACTTTGGGAGGTTGAAGCAGAAGGACTGCTAGAGCCCAGGAGTTCCAAACCAGCCTGGGCAACATAGCAAGACCCTGTTTCTATAAAAAATAGGTAAATAAAATCAAAGCAATTAAGAAAACTGGGCTGTAACTCCAGCCCCTGCATATACTCCAGCCACCCACACTGCGTGCTACTTCAGGCCACTTCTCTCTCCAAAGCCCTATCTGCTCATCTGTAAAAATAAAATAATAGATTCTGCTTTGCAAAAGTGTGTGAGAATATTATGTACTTATGTTACTTAACAAGGCACTCAAAACATGGTAGTTACTACCATGGAAAAAAATCAACAAAGCACTTTTACTAAGAACTCATTCATGAAGAACTGAAAATTTGAATGGAGTCTCATCTTCTAACGAACTTCATGGTAACAAGCTTTCGCCTTGTCCAATGTGTTCCCTGGTCCATATGGTATACCCACAGTCTGAGTGCTGGTGGCCTTGTAACTTGGGGGAAGGTCCAAAAACACAATCAAATTGTACCGGCCTATTCCTAAGAAACTACCATAGCAATGTAATGACTCAACAGTCACTGGAAATTCTAGGTGGCATGGATACTGAAAGCAACAGCCTGGACCTCTCCTCCAAGGACCAGGCCAACAGGACCCCCTGGCTCATTCCAGAGAACCCCAAGAGACTGTTATTTCCATAACAAAAAGGAGTCCAGTATCTCTGACCTAATGAAAAAAGATCTCCGACCTAATGTAGAAAGCACTAAACAGACACAACAGGGCTTCTAGAAAGTCATGGGGCTGCCAACAAGATGCACATCCTTTAGGCAACTTCTGAGGCAATGTGGAAATGGAAGCGGCTGAGCTGGAAGGACTATTCCAGTAGTAAACTTTTACCTCCAAACAGCCTACCAACCCCAGACCTCCTTTGGCTCTCCCAGTGCTCAGTATGTGACAATGCCAAATCATATGAGACAGTTATATATGTATAACTCCCTAAATGCACTGGCAGGAATATACTTTATCTCTCCAGGGACCCTTTTAGGCAAGCATCATGTCTCCCACGCCATGTAGAATGCTTAAGCATTTTAACAGGCATGCAGAATCTGATGGATTTGCATTAACCTGGTTTTTCTGCAAGTCAGCTGAAAATGGACTGGACACTCGAGGGGAGGAGAGGCACTAACACAAAATTAAATTAACTAGGACATTTATCAAGTCGAACTTTAGTCAACTTAGGCAGCTTAAATAGGGAAGGGAGGAAACATCCATTTATCTCCTTTCCTCCAGCATTGCCTCTTTTCCTCATTAACATTATGGAGAGAAAAATGCAAAGCAATTTCCCTTCTAACTTTTTGCCCAAAAATTAAGGCAGTCTTTTTCTCCTACAAGCTGCTCAGTGAACATTCTACATCAATACAGAAGCACTGGACAACAGCCACACCATAGCAATTGTTAACTTTTTTCCCCCTTCTGAGAAAATATCCCCACTAGTCATGGCTTAATTTGCAAACCCCATTAGACAAAAAGTACCAGAAAATTGCTTGTCCCACTTCACGCAGTACCTTCCCTGTAGCAGTGACACAAGCAATTAGGTTAATACAACTCTGTCCCAAGAGAAGGAAAGGGGACAAAAGTCTCAACTTTCCTAAATGGAATGAAATTTTCCCCACTAGAGAGGCAAGGTTCAGTGGGTGAGAAAAGGGAATTGCAATGCTGTTAAATTCACTATTTAATAATGTAACGCCATAATCAACTGCAAGTCCTTGAACTTACATTATGCCTTTCTACTGGGATACTCATGTAATTTCAAATGTATTACTGTAAAAACCTGGTCATTGAAGAGGCAAAAGACGGGGGGGGGGGCGGGGGGGGCGGTAAATGGACTTTAATTAAAATGTGAATAATCCAAGTCCAGCTAATTCAAAGCATCTGACTTGAACACCTAGTCAGCTGGGAAACAGCAGCTGTTTCCAATTACAGGTGACTGTGAATTAACCGGTATCAGTATCTAATGAAGAAGCTGTGTATGTAGGAAATTTTCCAATTCTGGAAGTACAGCTGTGCACATGGCCTTTGTAAAAAAGGAAACACCAAAGATCCAAAACCCTGTCTATGTAACCTCCTTTTAGGTCAGGACAAAGTTTTCCAGCTCATTCCTGTCTTTGCTACTGACCCCAAGAGCCAACTGTTCCATGTTCAAGAGGGTTTCTCCACTCTTGAACCTGAGCCCAGAAACATTTTGCAAGGAGAGATCAAACAGCTCTTCCTGCTGCCCACACACCTTCTCCACTGGTCCGAGGTTGTCACCCCAAGTCACAGAGATGGAGGTAACCCAACAAAACAGAGGTTTTTAATCCTATCACACAAAATGGGAAACCAGAAGGGCTCTTGAAGTTCAGTGACCTCCTCAAAGCTAAAAGCGCAACCAAAACCTCCTTTAGTCTGGAGGTGCTCACTAGCCTCCAGTGGAGAAAGAACATTCCAGAAGGCTGACCAGCTTCTTTCTAACTGCAGGTGGAGCTTTAGACCATCAGATTGTCAGTGGCTTTTTAAGAATCCCACTAATATGCACAAGGACTAGAAGGAAGAATCAGGAGAAAACTGGGAAAGGGGGAGTGGATACCTCTAAAGTCTCCTTCCCAGGCTGAACCAAAGACTGAAGGTGCCCAGGATCACCACCAACAAAAAAACCCAGAATCAAAAAGAGGCCAACACAATATTGCCCTGGCTAAGTCACCCCTTCACACACAAAAAGTCGAGGTCTGAAATCTCCCACTCACCTCCTGGGCTGCTATATAAGAAGCCACTCTGGAAACATCACTTATTTGCCTGTGTTAAATTATCTGAATGAAGGAAAATAAATTTGGATCTGCAAATGCAACAGCATGCCAAATTGCCCTTTTCCCACACATTTCCTCTTTTACAAATAGAGCATGTTTCTTCAGAACAAAATACTAAATAATGCATATAAATGTTTAGTTTTTCTCTGTAAAAATTAAAAACAATCCCATTTCTCTAGCAGATAAAAATGCACCAGTGTCTTCATATGCCTACCTCTAAAGAACCACAAAAAAACATTAAAGACATCCCCCAAAACTATCTAAAATGAAAAGGGACAAATTTCCTTAATGCCCCCCAAAAACTCCTTTTTCAAAGATAGAGAAGCAGGCCAGGCACAGTGGCTCACACCTGTAATCCCAGCACTTTGGGAGGCCAAGGCAGGAGGATCACCTGAGGTGAGGAGTTCAAGACCAGCCTGGCCAAAACGGTGAAACCCCGTCTGTACTAAAAATACAGAAAATTAGGCAGGCGTGGTGGCGGGCGCCTATAGTCCCATCTACTCCGGAGGCTGAGGCAGGAGAATCACTTGAACCCGGGAGGCAGAGGCCACAGTGAGCTGAGATCGTGCCACTGCACTCCAGCCTGGGTGACAGGGCGAGACTCCATCTTAAAAAAAAAAAAAAAAGATATAGACAAAATTTTTCAGAGAAATGCAGAAGGGAAAAGAAAATGGAGCAGTATGTTCTTCAGTGAGTATCCCCAAGAATGACACCAATCTTTAGGTGTCATTTCATTCCATCTAGGATCCTGACTCAAAGCCAGGGTCCTACTAATTTACAACATTTCGAAAAATCGTGCTTCAAGAAAACTACCCTGAGAAACAGCTGTTTTGTTTGCTTGTTTGTTTGTTTTTTGAGACAGAGTTTCGCTCTTGTTGCACAGGCTGGAGTGCAATGGCACAATCTTGGCTCTCCGCAACCCACAAGTCCCAGGTTCAAGCGATTCTTCTGCCTCAGCCTTCCAAGTAGCTGGGATTACAGGCATGCGCCACCATGCCCAGCTAATTTTGTATTTTTAGTAGAGATGGGGTTTCTCCATGTTGGTCAGGCTGGTCTTGAACTCCTGACCTCAGGTGATCCACCCACCTTGGCCTCCCAAAGTCCTGGGATTACAGGCGTGAGCCACCACATCTGGCTGAAAAACAGTTTTTTAAAGAACACAACCATTAGTTGAAAATCATTCCCTTGGTTTTATAGTTTGTCAAGGAAGAAAATATAGCAGGGACAATTGGAAAAGAGATTATATGTGCACATCCCATGTGTACATCATTTGGCTATTAAATTCAGGGTATGTTTACAGAGAGCCCCGCTAAGTGTATTCAATAGCTCACAAATAAAACTCAGGTATTTTAAAATAAGGGTAGGGGAGACCACTACATGCAACTGCGATGTTTCCAGGCATAAGGCATCCTCCCCACCCACATGAGGAAACTTAGCACGTAAAAAATGAGGACCCAACAAAATCTAGTAAATGCCATATGCTGAATCCCCTAACTGCTTTCTCTATAGATGGCAACTTACTAGGCTTTATTTTGTAGGTTGATAAGAAAACACAAATATAACCTCTTAACCTAACTCCAGGAAGAAAAATCATTAAGATTGCTAATTTAACATTTTAGAGAATGATTTTTAAAGAGCCAATGGGAGCAGGGAGAAGAAAATAAACTTAGTGACTATGGCAAGAATAATAAACAAAATCATAACAACAAATAAAATGTATAGCCAGTGCCACGCAAAATTGAGTGGCCCAGGTACTATAATTATCACATCCATTTTACAGATAAGAAAACTGAGGCACAGAGATTGTGACAGAGGCAGGCTTCAAACCCAGGACTATGGCTGCATAAACCTGAGGTAATACCACCTTCCAGGATAGTGAAATCAAACACAGGCTCCAAAGTGAAACATCCTGATTTGGGGTCAAGTAGTGGTAGGGGGGTCCAACCCTGGCCCCTTTACCTGCTTTGTTTCCACAGCTGCAATTTGGGGGAAATGGCTAAGTCACAGAGTTGTGGTAAGAAGTGAATACGTAAAATGCTGTCTGTGTAAAGCATTTAGGGTAGGTATACATTCAATCAATGGTAGCTATTATCCAGTAACAACTTCTCTTTTTTAAAAACTATATAAGCTTTCAAGGTGAGTTCAGGATAGAAACCAGCAAAACAGTAAGAGCTCTACGCAGAAATTCCTGACACTGCTCTTTGTCTACTAAAGCAAGACATGGAAGCTTTGGGAAGTACATGATAACACTATGCAGGCAACGCATTATAGCTAGCTGTCTTCCTTCCAGAATGAAAACTGAAGAATGGTCTTCAGAAAGGACAACATAGAGGGCCACGGGGCCAAAAGATGCATTTTCAAGCAATGCTCAAGCCTTACAATTGCATCACTGTTTTTGTTTTTTTGTTTTTCTGCTGTTTTTTCGTTTTTTTGAGACAGAGTCTAACTCTGTTGCCCAGGCTGGAGTGCAATGGCACGATCCTGGCTCGCTGCAACCTCCACTTCCTGGGTTCAAGCGATTCTCATGCCTCAACCTCTCCTGAGTAGGTGGGACTACAGGCGACAGTCTCGCTCTGCCGCCCAGGCTGGAGTGCAGTGGCATGATCTCAGCTCACTGCAACCTCTGCTTCCCAGTTTCAGGCGATTCTCCTGCCTCAGCCTCCCGAGTAGCTGGGATTACAGGCACACACCACCACGCCCAGCTACTTTTTATATTTTTAGTATAGATGGGGTTTCACCATGTTGGCCAGGATTGTCTTTAACTCCTGGCCTCAAGTGATCTGCCAGCCTCAGCCTCCCAAAGTGCTGGGATTACAGGCATGAGCCACTGTGCTTGGCCCGCATCACTGTTTTTAAACATCTTTATACTGTAGGAGAGTGTCTCTTCAGTCCCTGCTGGTTCAGAAAAAGGTGAGATGAGGTCTCACTATTGTTGCCCAGGCTGGTCTCGAACTCCTGGGCTCAAGCAAGCCTCATGCCTTGGCCTCCCAAAGTGATGAGATTACAGGCATGGGCCACCACATCAGGCCTGGATCTTCTATAACAATAGTTTTCAAACTTCTGTTGGTAGCAGAGATCTTATTGGGAACCCTACCCTTCGATGCTCAGGTTGGGACAGAGATGTGAGATTTAAAAAAGAAAAAAGAAGCGAACCACTGCACCAAGAACAAAATCAGTCCCAAAGTCTTGCTACACGAAGTGTAGGCCCTGAGAGTTTGTTAGAATGCAGAATCCTAGGCCCCACTTCAGTCCTGCTGAATGAGGAGCTGCATTTTAACAAGATCCTTGTGTGATTAGAACCCACTGGCCTCAAGCCCTCCTGAACCTCCCTTGGTCCCAATCCTGCATGCCCCCTACACATGTCCCTCCCTACCACCTGAGAAAACAATCTCCAATCGGACAAGTATACAAAGTAGACAATAAATATTTGTAGAACTAAAATGAAATAAAATGAAAGGCTACAAACTTCTGAAAGACAAAAATCATAGCATTCTGGAGGGGAACTCTGTGTTCCCATCACACAATACTTGCAGCTAAGGAAAACAACTGTGGGAAAGCAAAGTGTGGGATTTGCCCAAGGTCCCACAGTTTTTTCTTTTCTCTCCTTTTTTTTTTTGAGAGGGAGCCTTGCTCTGTTGCCCAGGCTGGAGTGCAGTGGCAAGATCTCCGCTCACTGCAAGCTCTGCCTCCTGGGTTCATACCATTCTCCTGCCTCAGCCTCCCAAGTACCTGGGATTACAGGTGTGCACCACCATAATTTTTTCTATTTTTAGTAGAGACAGGGTTTCACCATGTGGCCCAGGCTAGTTTCAAACTCCTAGGCTCAAGTGATCTCCCCACCTTGACCTCCCAAAGTGCTGGGATTACAGGTGAAACCACCATGCATGGCCTCTGGTCAGCTTTTTCAAGGCAGAGCAAGAACCTAAAGGAAATGCCAACACCTTAATAACACAGTCACTGCTAAGTCCAAAGGTAGAGTTTCAAGTTCTGGTAACCTGACATGACTCGCAATCATAACCCTTCCTAAATAAAGTACCCATTCTATGCCTGTAAAATGAGGGCAAGGGATTGCAGCTACCTAACCAATAGGATCAAATACATGAAGACCAAGAAAAACCCTGAGCAGGCCAGGTGCAGTGGCTCGTGCCTGTAATCCCAGCACTTTGGGAGGCCAAGGCGGGTGGATCACCTGAGGTCAGGAGTTCGGGACCAGCCTGACCAACATGGAGAAACCCTGTCTCTACTAAAAATACCAAATTAGCCAGGTGTGGTGGCAAATGCCTGTAATCCCAGCTACTCCGGAGGCTGAGGCAGGAGAATCGCGTGAACCCAGGAGGTGGAGGCTGCAGTGAGCCAAGATCACACCATTGCTCTCCAGCCTGGGCAACATGAGTGAAAGTCCATCAAAGACGGAAGGACGGACGGACAGATGGACGGACTGAAGGAAGGAAGGAAGGATCGACCCTGAGGCAAATCATTTCATCAGTTACAAGTGCTAGGATCTACAGAAAGACTAAGAAATGAGTATGTTCCCTTTGTATACAACCCTTGTGTTAATATTCTTTATGAAAAAACAAAAAACCTCTACCAATGTCTGCATATAATTACTCAGGAAAGAAATGACAAGGTTGCAGCGAAGCTAACCAATTTCCCAGCAAAACTCAACTTGAGACCATGTTTACCAATCTTCAGTCTGTCAAGTAAATTCTAAGTATCCTTCCTGGGGATCCCATCCAAGTCACTTCTGGACTCTGTGGTCTATATAGCCAGTAAAAACACTGCAGACATACATAAACACTGCCTGGATATTCTTTGCAAATGTTTGTAAAGGCTCCTAGACAAAGAAACTGGGCCAGGCAAGGTGGCTCACACCTGTAATCCCATCACTTTGGGAGGCTGAGGTGGGATGATTGAGGCTAGGAGTTCATACCCAACCTGGGAAACAATGCTAGACCCCATCTCTACCAAAAAAAAAAAAAAAAAATTTTAAAATAGCCATCTCTACAAAAAAAAATTAAAAATTAGCCAAGTGTGGTGTCATGCACCTGTGGTCCCAGCTACTAGGGGGTGGGGCAGGGAAGGCAGGAGGATCTCTTGAGCCCAAGAGTTCAAGGATGCAGTAATAAGCTGTGATCACACCACCACACGCCAGCCTGGGCAACAGACCCTGTCTCTTAAAATAAAATGTAAAAAATGCTGAAGGTTCAAATACTATTGAAAGATTAAAAATCCAACTTTAGGAGGCAGTTATCGAGTCAGAAACTTCTTTCCGCCCCCCCCAACAAGAATGCTCACAGCCCAGTGGCCTGGTCTAGGGACTAAGGGTGGAGCACAGGGAACAGGGCACTCAGATTAGGAGGTTTTACAGAGGCCTGGGAGGAGACAGAAAGCTATTTAACGGTTTTCCTCCTCCCTCAAGAAAGGGGCAACTACCTCACCACTGGCAAGCATTTTGAGGCCACCAAAGACATGATGGTTCAGCACATCTTTTGATAAATTCTAGGACATTCCCCAAGCACACACCAGACAAGTAGGCCTTTAAATTTCCTAACGAGAAACAGGCACTGGCATTTCCTACCTTGCCTGCCATGGGCACACGCACACGCCTGACTTTAAGAGGTTTAACAAAAGAGTTAGAGCCCCGAACTTCCTTGACTTTAATTAAACTTGGCTTCCACTTCTGAAAAATCCTGAAGTTTTTATTTTGTTCTGTAGTCTCACTAATGCTTTTAAATGAGAGATGCTGTGAAAAGGAAAAGCAAATTCTTTGCAGCTGCGTGTGAGCATTCTGCCAACTGAAGCACAGGAAGAAGCTCTCCCATGTTAAAAATTTCCAACTGGGAGATTTACAAAACAGCAGGGGAGGATGGATGGGGCAGAGGGAGACGTGTGCATGTGAAAGAGCTGCAAAAAGCTCCCTTTTTTGTGTTCAAGTCCCAGAGGCCTTCGGAGGCTTGTCATGCTTCAGCGATTGCCACCCCCTCCCATTTTACACCCCTTCCAAAGCCACCGTCCTTTCCATCCAGGCTTTCGGATATAAGTACACATTCTGCAGAACCACTTCTTAGCTGTTCCTTTATTTTACCCCCATCTCCCCAGGCCGCCCCAACACTCATTCTGCCATAACTGGATAATGGAAAGAAGCTTAACAGGGAGGTAGCAACCATTTCCCTCTGACTAAATGAAGTCCTGGCGTTAAGCTGCACTCCTCAGGAGGAAATGACAAGCATTTTGGCAAATGAACTTTTTTGTTTTCTATTAGCAGCAGCAAGATATCCACTGTTGACAACAGCAAAAGTTCACAAAGATAAGCTTCTAGGCTGTGTTTTTAAAGCTCTTCGGAAAATCTAGCTCTACCCTTACGAAAAGCCAATTTGGTCAAAAATGCTGTCAGAAGGGTTTGGAGGTTTGGTTTTAAATTTCCATATTAAGTGATGGGGTTTGGTCTTTTCAGAGAAGGAAAGAGTCACCACACTATCACAATTTCTAGGAAGCAGGCATGCACATTAGGTATGGTGTCCCACTGTCGTCCATCACCTATCCCCTGTTCTGGGGTGTGGGGTTGTCCATACTATTAACCGATCCCCGCCGCAGTTAAGCCTTAGGAGTTGCAACCCCACAGCATCCTCGGGGGCTGCTGATGTACACTTCATGGAACCAACTTTCTTCTTACTAAATCCTCCGCTGAATGCAGTTTTTTCTCAGGGCCCCAAGCAACACAAACACATCCTCAGGAGTGCAGGTAAAATATAAACCCTCTGGGGATCAGCATGCACACCACCCAAAAACCCCCTACTGCATATCTACAGAGGTGCACAGTAACAAAGCACTGGCAGACAGACAGGAAGCACTCCATAAGGTCCTCGGGAACGCAACCATTGAGTTCGCGCGTCACACCGGACTTCTGAAGACAGGACAGCCAAAAAATATCCTTCATAAGGAGTTAATGCCATGGCTTGAAACAGTCAACCAGAAAATTCACTAGAACCAGCTTACTCCATTCCCAGAGCATTCAGAGTCTGTCTACATGTTACTATAATTTGAAACCTGATTCTAAGAACATCCTTGTACCTAGGCCATTTCACAACTGATGCTCTTGCAGAAGGTATCGGTTCCCTCCTGGGCACCTACTGCTGTTTATAACCAGTTGGTTAGGCTTCAGGATCCTTTCCTGGTGGTTGCTGACATGCCTTTTGCTGCCCCTCAAGCAGATCTTTGAGCTATCTCTATGTAGATAAAAGGAAAGGCCTCACTCTGTCTTATGTCAGATACTGATAAGCCGCTTTAAGATTTTCTTTTTCATGGGAGTGGGAGAATAGTTTAGGAGAGTAAGAGAATAACACTCCAGGAAGCCCAGGGTCTCTTTGGACACTGTGTTCAGAGTTTCAGAGTGTTGAATTCACCATCTCTCCCCACAGCCAAAGAAGACAACTTAACTGTTTGCCATCCAGTAAGTTGCAATATGTCAGCATTAACCCAAACCCTCGATCACGCAGCTAGAAGCAATACTAATATACAGGTGGAAGAGAATGCCTACAATGAAAGGGGCACAGTTGTGCCTATTAGAGCACCTAATCTCCACTCAGGGACGCACGTGCACCCCACATTACAATGGAGAACACTGAGAATTTAAACCACGGCCTGGTGATCCTCCTGGACATGCAGCTAATAAGTGGCTGAGGGACAACCAGTGGTCAGCTGGCGCCCTGATTGTTATTACAGCAGTGCATTTTCTAGGAGGCAGGCCACTGGCGAGGTCTCCTGGGGTCATGAGATGACTCTGACATGAAATAACAAACACACACAATCAGATATGCGTCCACAAAGCTGTTTCTCACCCTGCCCCCAAAAAATGTTTAAACATTGAGAGTGTAGAACTTTCAAGCTACCAAAAGAAAATGTTTTGCCTTAAAATGACAAAAAAGCAGAAGAAACTTTGATGAAAGATTCCTAAAACTCAAAATATACTACAAACACCCTAGCCAGGAGAAACACGTTGAGCAACGGAAGTGCAACCAAGCGCTGCTAGGCTGACAACAATGACCATGAAACTGCTGTTTCCTTATGAGGCCCTGCAAATTAGTCCTTCCCCCAGCGGGAGAGGATATGGAGCTCACGGTTTGCTATTTTCCTTTTCATTACTACTATTCCAGGGTGCAGGTAAGAAAGAGAAAGAGAAGGAATTTGGGAAGACGTTAAGAAGTAAAACTCTAAACTATTACTTATGTTGTTTGCTCTCTGTTGGAAGATCATTGTAACTAATAGTTAAAATATACTTGGCAGAGACCGTGCTAAAAAGCTCTTTAAAAGAGGGGCCATACAAGGATCCCCAAACTCTGCTTAATCAGTACCAACACCACAGGAGATTCATCGGACACACTTGTCTTCCTGGGCTCCAGAGACTTCCTAAGGTAAAATGGGAAGACACAAATGTCTCCAGGAGAGCATATGTGACAGTTCTTTGAGAGAAAGCTGATCAGTATTGACCTTTAATTTGGAGACACTAAGCCTCGTGCCATCTCTTTTATGAATATGAGAGAGCACTTTGGGACCTTTTCCAGCTGGGAGGAAGGAAGCACAATTATTCACCCCCGTTGGCTAGGAGACCTGATGAGCTCCACTTTCAAAACCGTAACAGACCAGCCACCGCCCATGCCCTCCAGTTTCCATGAGGCAGAGACCCCTGAGTGGAGAAGGGGTCTGAATGTAAATGAGGGAGGGGCTGGGACAATCCCACACTATCCTGTGAATGACCATGATGCTGGTCCCAGATTCCTGCTTGCCCAGTCCAAAAGCAAGTGAACATGCTGCCCGGGCTCATCAGGTCCCTGGGGAAGAGGGTCACCTTACACTGTTAAGACAGCATTCACGGAGAGCCCTGCAGAATACTCCTTAATTGCCTGGAAAGTGACCTGTCCAATGGGGCTTTCCTGGCTTCTTGGCTGCCAGCCAAGAAGTAGCCTTAACTTCTGTACCCATGGGGAGAGATGAGGGCAAGTCCCAAAGCAGTATCACTTCACAAAATAAATCTCACAGAGCCAAATCTGGAATGTTACTGCACAGATATTTGAAATCCCAGCTGACAGTCCTATACCTATTTGGGGCTGGGAGGATGATTAAGGCTTTAAATCTCAATTACACTTATGGAACTCTAAATGACTGCGTGGTTTTTTTTTGTTTTTTTTTTTTTAATGCAAACCTAAGTTTGGGATGCAGAACTACAGAGACAAGAACTCAGCAAGCACCCCCACTTCCTCCAAAGAGTAGTCAAGTCCCACAGCACAGCCCGGAGCAGTAGCTGTTAAAAGACAAGGGCTGGGCTGGATCCGGCCAACATTACAAGGACAACCAACTGGTCTCATTCCTTAGTCTTGTGCTTTTAAAGGGCAGACGATGTGCCAACTATTTTAAAGCTCCAACACACTAATTCTGTAAACAATAATAGCTACAGCCTGCACACTGCGCACTGGAATGGATTCCTCAACTTGGCCTCATCACTTATGCAGCTGATGAAACAAACACTGACAGCTTTTTTGCATTTGTAAAGGCCCCACAGCAGCTGTGGTGATCCCACCATAGAGCAATGAATTAAGCCTGAAACCCAGCTGGGTCTGAACAGAAGCCTTTTTTGCACAATACAGCAAGACTATCATTGTTAACCTAGGCATTATTGGGAAATATTCTGCATTACATTATAGGGCAGTTCTAACTCAATTCTTAAAATTAGCTCTAATAAGCAATTTTAGTAGGAGGGATGTGGCGTTAGCCTTTGAAAGGCACAAGTATGTGTATAGGTTATAGGTACACCACATAAAAGCGGCCCGGCAGAACACAGATTTCCAGTTAAACAATGCAAAGTTTAAAATATTAACTCCTTCTTAGATATTCTCTCTCTCTCTCTATCTCTCTCTCTCTCACACACACACACACACACACACACACACTCACACCTACCTTCTAAACTGAGGTGGGTGTCTAAACTAGTAAATTCTTGGCTACTTGGCCACTGCAGAGAAAAATATTGAATATAGCTGTCAGGGCTCCTGTTAGTAAGCCAAACTAATGACCTGAGCACAGGAGTCAATTTGGAACAGAAAACCATACCAGAAAAACTGGAGTGTGAGAAGCATGATTAATACCATTAGTAAAGAATTTTTTGACAATGACCTTGAGCACTATGAAATAAATAAGATTCCAAATACTGATTAATACCATCAGTAAAGAATTTTTTGACAATGAACCTGAGGACTATGTAATAAACAAGATTCCAAATACTGACGGACACACTGGTGTTTACAGGCTTCTTATCATCAGGAAGTTCTAGGAAGGCAAAGACACCCACACCAAGACATGTGCTCCTACAGAATCGGAACACGCACTCTCTGCTTCACAAAATGCTTCTCAATACCACTAGGCCACATGACATTTGCAGTCCCCACCATCCACTTCTCTTATGTTGCCTTACAGTTTTTCTAACAATTAAAAATTGCCTGAAATTAGCCAGGCATGGTGAAGCGCAGCTCTAGTCCCAGCTACTTGGGAGGGTGAGGTGGGAGGATCGCTTGAGCCCAGGAAGGTTAAGGCTGCAGTGAGCTGCGTTCACGTCACGGCACTCCAGTTTGGGTAACACAGCGACACCCTGTATCTAAAAAATAAAAATTGCCAGCCGGGCACGGTGGCTCACGCCTGTAATCCCAGCATTTTGGGAGGCCGAGGCAGGCAGATCACCTGAGGTCAGGAGTTTGAGACCAGCCTGGCCAACAAGGTGAAACCCTGTATCTACTAAAAATACAAAAATTAGCCAGGCGTGGTGGCGGGTGCCTGTAATCCTGGCTACTCTGGAGGCTGAGGCAGGAGAATCACTTGAATCCGGAAGGCGGAGGTTGCAATGAGTGGAGATCGCGCCACTGCACTCCAGCCTGGGCGACAAAGTGAGACTCTGTCTCAAAAAAAAAAAAAAAAAAATTGTCTGACTCTAGTTAAGGACCAATCTCAACAATTTCACACCAACTTGGGGAAAATAAATCTAGTAAATTCAGAGAAATCAAAAGAATACAGTAACATCCCTCCTCCTTTGAAGAACTCCTATTTCTTAATGGAGTTCATTACGAAGGGTAGTTTTTCAAAGAAAAATAAAAACCATTTTTGGTTCAGCAGGCTTGGAAGGAGAAGAAAATCAGGGATAATTTCTAGGTCATTCTACTCCCCATAGTCCTCTGCCAAAGAATGCTGACAGAGGTAACCACAAGAAAGTCAAAACCTAAGGTAATGCAGGAAATCTGAAGTCCCACCATCAAGCCACTGGAGCATATGATTCCAGCACAAGCACGTGTGACCAGTGTTTACGGTTTGCAAAGGGGTAGAGGAAATGAGACCACTCTTGGCCACCCACAGTGACATGGAGAGTGACAGGCAGTAAGGAAAATGAGGACCCCTACCACACACACACACACACACACACACACACACACACACACACACAAACACACACCCTCCAAAGGGCAAGCTAGAGCCCCAGAAGGGGAGGGCACAGCATAGGACTCTGCTGAACAGAGCACATCACTTCAGAGGCATGAACTGAAACACAGCTTAATGACAGAAAATAAATTTAGTAGTAATACGTATAAGCACGCTTTTCTAACAAGGTATTCCAAGAGAAATGCAAACAAATCCACACAAAAACCTCCACACAAACGTTCACCGCAGCATTGTTCAAAATAGCCAAACGGGCCGGGCACGGTGGCTCACGCCTATAAATCCCAGCACTTTGGGTGGCCGAGGCGGGTGGATCATGAGTTCAAGACTAGCCTGGCCATCGTGGTGAAACCCCGTCTCTACTAAGAATACAAAAATTAGCCGGGCGTGGTGGCGCACACCTGTAATCCCAGCTACTCGGAAGGCTGAGGCAAGAGAATTGCTTGAACAGGGACCCGGAAGTGGAGGTTGCAGTGAGCCAAGATTGCGCCACTGCACTCCAGCCTGGGCTAGAGTGAGACTCCATCTCAAAAAAAAAAAAAAAAAAATAGCCAAACCATAGAAACAACTCAAATGTCCATCAGCTGATGACTGGATACACAAAGCATGATACATCCATACAATGGAATGTTATTCAGCCACAAAAAGGAATGAAGTACTGATACACACTCCAGCATGAATTTTAGAAACATAATTTTAAAAGACACAAGACACAAAGTCCACATATTATATGATTCCATTCACATGGAATATCCAGAATAAGCAAAAGCACAAAGACAGAAAATGATTCGTAGGTGTAAGAGGCTGGAAGAACTGGGGTGAAGATCACTTGAGGCCAGGAGTTTAAGACCCACCGAGGAAACACAGCGAAACCCCACCTCTATAAAAATTTTAAAATAAGAAAATTAACAGGCAAAAAAAAAAAAAAGGCATGAGATTCTTCATTTATACATACCTTTTCCATGTCAGTGCCTACTCAGACAAAGTCAAAACCATCCCCTGGGCCGGGCGCGGTGGCTCACGCCTATAATCCCAGCACTTTCGGAGGTTGAGGCAGGCGGATCACAAGGTCAGGAGTTTGAAACCAGCCTGACCTGCACGGTGAAACCCCGCCTCTACTAAAAATACAAAAAATTAGCCGGGCATGGTGGCGCGCGCCTGTAGTCCCAGCTACTTGGGAGGCTGAGGCAGAATTGCTTGAACCAGGGAGGTGGAGGTCGTGGTGAGCCAAGATTGCGCCACTGCACTACAGCCTGGGTGACAGAGCAAGGCTCCATCTCAAAAAAAAAAAAAAAAATCCCTGAATTTGTATATAAGGTATACAATATACAGTAGGACGTAGTAGGGAGTACAAAAGTAAATTCAGTATTCCTTATCAACTTTAGAAATCTTTTAACACTCAGCAAGGAGGATTACTTGCTGCTGATGGCAGAAACCACATTCCTTAGAAGAGAAAACACCAGGCCGGGCGGGGTGGCTCACGCCTGTAATCCCAGCACTTTGGGAGGCCAAGGCGGGCAGATCACAACGTCAAGAGATGGAGACCATCCTGGCAAACTAACATGGTGAAACCCTGTCTCTACAAAAAACACAAAATTTAGGTGGGTGTCGTGGCGCACGCCTGTAGTCCCAGCCACTTGGGAGGCTGAGGCAAGAGAAGCGCTTGAACCTGGGAGGTAGAGGTTGTTGCAGTGAGCCAAGATAGCGCCACTGCACTCCAGCCCAGGCCACAGAGCAAGACTCCGTCTCAAAAAAAAAAAAAAAAAAAAAGAAGAAGAAGAAAAAACACCATCCAAGGCCTTCATAGACCGTATATAATGCCTGTCCTGAAAAACAAGCTGTTAATGCCTGAGCAAAGTGACATCGTCCTTTCTTTATTGGGATGACCTCCATGTACAAAGGGAGTAGTAATAGGACTCTTCTTACCATTAAGGTCTTCATTTGTATTAAAGAACTGTAAGCAAACAATGTTTGGCTGTAAAAGCTTTGCAAGTCAAAGATAATGGCCTTCCTTGGTAAACTGACTGTTCTTTATAATCATCATTATTTATACTCCCAAGAGGCTTTTGCCTAATGCTCCAATAAATTCTGGAAAGAAATAACATGACAATTTCAGCAAGTCTCATGGAAGAAGGCAAGGGAAAAAAAGGCTACTTGAATAGAAAGTGTGTTTCATCCTGGGGTATGTCAGTGTTGGGACAGTGATCACATCGCTTAATTAGAGCAAGGAGTACATTTAGAAGAAAGAAGAAAAAGCCACCACTTTTTAGCTTCAGGTATTTCCAAGTGAAATCTATCCTCCCCACCTCCCAATGCTTTCCAGCTTACCAGGGCCAAAAGAAAACCCATTTTAATAGCATCATTAGAGTTTTGATTTATCACAAGTACAGAAGAGCGTGCAGTATTGCACTCCTTATCTCATCCAGACAAGAACTCCATTGAACATGAAGCTTTGCAAGTTCTTATTTGTACCAGGAGTTTCTGCAGAACTAATTGATGGTGTTTATATTGAGCTGGTGTTTATATTTGAGACAAGTATTTCCCGACCTCTTCAACTATGAGACTTGGCCCATGGCTTAGATATGCCCAGAGCCCAGACTCTGGGACACTTAGGCAAGCCAAATATGTTCTTTATTTAAAGGAGGTTTCCTTTCCCTCTGTCAGCCACCTTTTAGATTCCAGCTAAGTTTAAACCACAATGGTTTGGAATCCTAACAGTAGTTTTGAGGATTACAATACAGAATGAGTATTTCAAAACATTTTTAAAGACACAGAACACTGAATCATGCAGTAACACCCACCAATCGCTCCCCTCAAAGTAAGTCAAGTTCAGAAGTTCACTATTAAATCCAGACCCTCCCAAATCCAGACCCTCCCTGGCCCCCTGCACTGTGGAAAAAAGTGATAAACTGCATTGGTATTTAAATAAAAATCTGATCTCTGCCACTCGAAGATGTAATCATCACTGGGGATTACTTTCATGCATCTTTAAAATTCTTTCAGATTAAAAGATCTGTCAGAGTGTCAATACCAATACTATTAAGCAAAACTTGCCTTTACTTAAAGTTTTAGGTCAAGACCTCAAACCAAAAGCAAAAACACTGCCAGGCCCAAACACTGCTGCATTGAGATGAATGAACAACTACTCTGCTGTCCACAGTTTAATCTGACTGTCCCTTTTTTGCATTTGGAAAGTGAACTTGAGTCAGATCTAAGTAAAAATTATTTGCTCCTGGAATGACAGCTCATCGTGGCTTTAAAATCCTTTTTTAGAATGAGGGGCATAAATACATAAATATATAAAAGTAACCCCCATCAAAAAAATGTAACCAGCTAGGAGTCCCAGTGAGAAGGCTGAACAGTGGTTAAAACTGAACGTTAACCAAACCCCACTAAAATAACCTCATCTCCCCAACATACCCATCTAACCCCTGTCCTAAGTGCAGATGAGCGAGCCCTAGCAAACATTTTATGATCTTCAAAAGATTAAGAAGCCAAGTCCACCATTCTTTTGGCATCTCTCAAAGCCAGTGGCATTTGCCACTCCAAATCATCAGTTTGAGAAGGAGATGTGGCATTGTGTATAGGGTCCAGCCTGGTGCTGTCACAGCTCTGGGAAGGCAAGACCATGCAACCAAGCCCTTCAAGGCAGATGAAAACCATGTGCTACCAATTTGACTGGGACTCCAGACCATGACTCCTTATTAAATGCCTTCTATTCACATCAGCTCTTTCATCCTCCAACATCAAGACATTATTACAAGCTGAAAATAGAACAAACAGAGCTTTAGTGCTCTGGGCAGTGTAAGAATGGAAAAGGAGGCAATTTAGGTAAAACCAAGTGTTAGGTTCCACCTCATCTCTAAGGGTACATCTTGCCTGGAGAATAAAAGGCAGGCAAAGTAGTTCATTCAAAAGTATGCAAAAAAGTCATGCTGCTTCTTAGTCACACTGTGAACACTACCCTCATCCTCACAAACCAGGGAAGGCAGAGGGAAGATAAAAATCCCATCCATCCAAAAATATGTCTGGGTGTAAAGAGACTCACACTGCATTTTTCCATAAGTTAGGAAGAAAAACCAAGCCTTGGTGAGAAGGAAAGGTGCTAAGCACCCTTATTATCTGAATTTCTATCCTCTTCCTCGAACAACTGGGATATACTATAATCAGCACAGATGACCCAGAAACAGTTTCCTCTTCAATCTTGCACTTGGAGAATTACAGCCACAAGAATCTGTAAGACTTATAATAACATGGTCTAAATAGTCACAGTTGGTGTTCTGCTGTTTTGTTTTGTTTTGAGACAGGATCTTACTCTGTTGCCCAGGCTGGAGTGCAGTGGCGCAATCTCGGCTCACTGCAACCTCTGCCTCCTGGGTTCAAGCAATTCTCCTGCCTCAGCCTCCCAAGTAGCTGGGATTACAGGCGCTTGCCACCACACCTGGCTAATTTTTGTATTTTCAGTAGAGACAGGTTTTCACCATGTTAGTCAGGCTGGCCTCAAACTCCTGACCTTGTGATCCGCCCGCCTTGGCCTCCCAAAGTGCTGGGATTACAGGTGTGAGCCACCACGTCCGGCTATAGTCACAGTTCATAAAGCACTTCACACTTTAACATTTGATTCAGCCTCCCACAAAATGACCTTGAGAGGCCAATAATGAAGGCACAATTCTCCCCCTTTCAAAGATGAAGAAACTGAGACCTGGAGAGGTGAAGTGATCTACCCAAGATGACAGAGCAGAGATCCTCAACTTCAGACTGACTCCAAAGCCAGTGCTCTCCTCCCATTGTTTCACATCCCTGCTGCCAACTAAACTGTAAATGCCCCTCAGACAAGGGCAATGTCGTATTTTCAAACTCCCAACACAGTGTCAGAACATGGTAAGCAACCAAAAAATGCCAGCTGTATTTAACTGAACAGTCTTCCAAGCCACAGCCCAAAGGGATCTTCGTAAATATACAAAGCCCACCTCACAAACAAGGCTGAGATCACATATGAAAACAATGTGATTGGGGGTCATCTTTATTACTTAAGTATCTCTATGTCCTCACAACAAAAAGCATTTCATACATATAAGAATAAGAACATCATTGTACAATTACCCAAGGCTCTCCCTTTCCCTTCCCTTCTGGAGCTGTTCTGACTAATAACACATTGTGTTCTTAGAGCAATTTTGTTTTACAAAGTGCTTTCACATATCTTATCTCATTTAGTTCTAAATGCCCTGAGAGAGGACACAGGAAGAAAATAGAAACTTAAATAAAACTCAACTGACATCTTTACTACTTGTTACAAATGCCTGTATTGTTTTTTAAAAGCCAACAAACCAACCAACCCGCTGGCCTAACGTGTACTACCTGTGGGACTGTAAATTAGTATAGCCTCTCTCCAAGAAAGCAATGTACTAGGAAAGATCAAAACGTAAATACGGGCACTTCTAAGTCAGTAATTTCACAGTAAGAATTTAGAGTTGAGTGCAAACAGACACGTGCAAAGCAGGCTGCATGCATCATTTTGTACAACAGCCCCAAATCTGTGAAAAACCCATCCCGAAGAGATGAGTCAAGAAAATAGTGGTAACTATCAACCAACGGCCTTGAAGCCATTAAAAATCACTGTCTTTGATTACCATGACAAGTTATAAATGCAAACAGGAGGTAACAAAAATACAGCACTTAAAGAGTATGGCCCATATATATAAAACTGTATGTGCAAGTAGAGGAATGTCCAGTATGTGATTTCAATGATTTCTATCTTTTGAGTACTTGTCTGATTTGAATCACTTCTTATTAAGCAAAAAAGGCCATCTGCACAACAGTAAAATGCTATTGGCTTAATTAGGTATGGGGATTACACGTGGATTTTATTTTTCCATGAAAATGAATCAATTACTGCAGTTACCATGAATAACTGAAAATCCCCCTGAAAAGAAAAGTATTTCCAAAGGCAGTAACAGAGAGGGCCTTCTACTGTATCAGGACCTGGATTTCATGCCCCAGCTGTGTCTGATAAAATATGCGACCACAAGCAGGTCACTTTACAACAGTACTAGAAACCTCAGGAATTCTCAACTATAAAATTATAGCGTCCAAAATTGTGATCAGTTAAGTCTATCTTTTTGCACTAGATTCATACCGATTCCCTCCCACTACTAAGTAGTACTCGAAATACTCCACCAAACTTGAACTCAAATATTCCTAGAATGTATACTATGTATTAGACATTAACATTGACCTACAATGACATAAATTCAGCCCCTACTCTTGTGGGGTTAATAGGGTGAGAGACATGTAAGCAAATAACTCCAGCACCTAAAAATAAAGTGCGAGGAGACCAGCCAACAGGGAGAAAGAGCCTGGCTCTGCCAGACGGGGTGAACAGGGTGACAGGCTTCAGACAAACACGGTGGGCTCCTCAGGCAATCCATTCACCAAGCAAGTAGAGGAATAAAATGCTGGGCTCAGCTGAAGCCCCGGATGTGTGAAGTGGATGGGTGGCAGGATAAGCCCAGAGTACATCAAGAAGGGCTGGGAACAAAGTTGGTTTAGATTCGATCCTGAGGACCAGAGAGCCACTAAAGAATTGTGTTCACATCATAATCAGATTTTTAATTTCAAGGACTATGTCTTCTTTAAACATCTTCGTGCACAGATTCAGTGCCACTCCAGTCTTAATTCTCAATCTATCCCTCTTTCCAATTCACCATCCAGGTGTATTTAGGAGTCAAGTGTTGGCTAATATAGGACAGAGGTAGAAGGTGATTACATCACCTTCTAATCCGTAAAGCCTTGTTCTGTTTCCCAATGTGCATCTGCTACTTGCTATCAGCTTGCTTTATTAAGAATCAAAGTGCAGAATTCATTTGATTCATTTATATCTGAGTCAGCTAGGAAGGCCGCCGGCAGGCCTGATGTCTCCAGGTTGGTGATTTCCAACTGGGTAATAATACCTTGAGCATTTGTGCAGCAGTATGCAGTTTACAAAGTGCTTTCACATCAAAAATTCCCCTGCCTCTCCCAGCAACAAGCCTGTGAAGTGCATGAAATAAGTTGTCCAGATGAGGAAATAGCTCAGCGAGGTTGTATAGCCTGCCTGGAGTCACACAGCCAGTTTAACACAAGGCCAAACTTGAAGTAGGCTCACATTCCCAACCTTGTCCATTACTGCAGAGGTACCCCATATATTCACAAGCCTGTCCAAATCTGAGGCATTTCATTACTTAGGTCCATTTAGTAGCAGTAATAAGGCATATACACAAAGCACAAAAGTCTGCTGCTTAACAGAATAAGCATTCACTCAGCCCCCTTCTGCAAACCTATAGAAGGACTAAATGCAAGAAACACATGCTCAGCCCTAATCCCTTCTCATTTCCTCCTGGCACCTGTTTCTGCCCCCACAGGCACCAAACACTCTAACAGCTGGCTGAAACCGAGAGAGAACCAACAGATAATACACTACCACTTCAGACCAAGCTCTCACCAAAATGGTGGCTGGGAAATAATGGAGACAGAACCACCAAGATTTTAAGAGATCAATAAACTGGGTGTCAGAAGATCTCCCACATTCTCCTGTCCCAGTAAACCAGGTCTCCAGGTAGACAAGAGTCACACAACCTATCCTTTTCACTCCTCCTCCTCACCTCCCCCGAAAAAAAGTTACTGTTAAGAATTCCTAATTGGGCCAGGCGCAGTGGCTCACGCCTGTAATCCCAGCACTTTGGGAGGCTGAGGCGGGCTGATCACAAGGTCAAGAGATAGAGACCATCCTGGCCAACAGGGTGAAACCCCGTCTCTACTAAAAATACAAAAATTAGCTGGGCATGGTCGTGTGTGCCTGTAGTCCCAGCTACTCGAGAGGATGAGGCAGGAAAATGAGATAGCGCCACTGTACTCCAGCCTGGCAACAAAGTGAGACTCGTCTCAAAAAAAAAAAAAAAAAAAAAGAATTCCTAGTTTACCAATGTGTATGACGGAAGACTCTTACTGGGAGTATGGAGGGGCAAAACTGTGGTTACACAGTGGTTGTTTTTGTGTGTTTTTGTGGTGTTTTTTTTTTGTTTTTTGTTTTGTTTTTTTTGGAGACAGAGTCTCACTCACCTCACTGCAACCTCCATCCTCCTCAAGTAATTCTCCTGCCTCGGCCTTCCAAGTAGCTGGGATTACAGGTGCCCACCACCACGCCTGGCTAACTTTTTTGCATTTTTAGTAGAGACGGAGTTTCACCATGTTGGCCAGGCTAGTCTAGAACTCCTGACCTGAAGTGATCCGCTCACCTCGGCCTTCGAAAGTGCTGGGATTACGGGCATGAGCCACCGCGCCCGGCCCTGTGGCTATGTATTTTGTTAACCTTCTAGGAGCATGGTAAATAAACACTGCTGTTGATAATATTTCAGTGTTCACTGGCCTTCCTCTTCATGGGTGGTGGAGCTTGACAGACTTACAAAATTAGAACTTAAAATCCAATTGAGACCTTTTAGGCAGCACCAGCTCTCAAGAATAGCTCTCAAAAACTTCTACCAGTAGGGTTCCTCTTTCTCTAACACCCGCATCTGTCCCATGATTATGTAAGTAATCATGTATAATGTTCCCATTACTCACACCGCCTCATTAACACATCTGGACAGCCTTTGTTTAATGGATGGCCCAGCCCCTAGTGAGGACTGAGGGCATATGATTTCCCCAGTGCTCCATGGTCCCCTAAGCCTCAAAGTCAGGGGCAATGATACAAGTACAAGAAAAAGTCAACAGCCCTGGGAAATCAAACTGGTTCCTGCAAGTCTGGAGAACTGCAGCCCACACTGGGCCTCAGATACACCCAAGAATGTGGTGGGGGCATTTGTAAAACTAGAAGAGCACAAACCATCCAGTCCCAAGGGACACGGGATGTCAGTCTTCCAATGATGACTCAAAGAGACAGCCAGCTGGGTATAAGGGGGTAGCTCCACCAACTGGTTCTTCAAAAAACAACAAATACAAACATGCAGGGAAGACGGACACTTCTGACAAAACTGCCCTCCCTTCCAACTTTCCCAAGCAAAAAGCCTCTCCAAAGGCTGCCAACAGTCCCTTTTACAACCTTTTCTTCTCCCCTTTTTGGGGCTCCACTGATCGTTCATGTTACTTCTATGTCCTCTGAACTCAAAAGGGGGGAGCAAATTCAGAAAACTAACCATCTGACTGGTTTTTCACCTTACTTGTCTCATCTATAAAATGGACTCAAAAACCCCTTTTCTCAGACAAACTCACAATGTAGGCGGTTATTTCAGAATTGACTGAGTCCTCTCTTCACAATCCCGTTAAGAGAAGTGGGTGTTGTGTCGTCATCTGGAGGTGTTTTCTATAATCCATGCTTTTCTGGGACATTTCTTCAAATGGAAAAAAGAACCCCAGTAGAGGTGGGCAGCACCCTTAAAATAGTAAAATCTGTGGCAAGACAAACTGTGGTACAAGTGTAAAAAAAAAACCAGAAACCCAGAGTGGTAGTCGAGCTGCCAGTCGCTGCTCACGCAGGAATGATCTATACTTTGCCCTCTGGAACAATCTGCGTGGGCTCTTTCCTACAGCCTAAGAGAGCAAGAAAGACAAAAGCCACCTGCAAGAAGTGACAGGAACAGGAAGTCCTGGAAACATGAGTCTTCCACCAAGAGCAAAATGACAGGTCAGCTCCACTTTCGATAATTTTATTCTGAATCAGAACTGCATTTTAAAAATCCTTATTTGGCCAGGCACGGTGGCTCACGCCTGTAATTCCAACACTTTGGGAGGCTGAGGTGGGCAGATCATGAGGTCAGGAGTTCAATACCAGCCTGGCCAACATAGTGAAACCCCGTCTTTACTAAAAATACAAAAATGAGCCGGGTGTGGTGGCACACGCTGGTTAGTCCCAGCTACTCGGGAGGCTGAGGCGGGAGAATAGCTTGAACCCAGGAGCTGGAGGCTGCAGTGAACAGAGACCACGCCACTGCACTCCAGCCTGGGTGAGAGAGAGAGACTCCTCTGTCTCAAAAAAAAAAATCCTTATTAAAAAAACCTGAAGCTGGCAGAAGGTTATAGGATTGTCTGAAGTCCCAAGAAAGATTAAAACCTAGAAGGATAATGAGAATAAAATCTCGCTCACTCTTCTTCTACAAAAATGTAGACAGATACCACGGAGTTCTCACCTCCTAGAATAAAAGATGCCTGCAAGGGTGAGGCAAGTATGGAAAAGGTTTATGGACAAAAGGAATCAGAAAAACAAAGACTGGGGGCCTGGAAAAGCAATTGAGGCTTGTCTTAGGGAGTCACAGGATATAAAGAGTACAGTTATCTGGAGGACGGAAAAAAAACGAAAGATAATTGAGCACATGAAAAAACAGATTCATTTGGTTTCATTTTTATTAACAGGTAAGGCTTAAGGATTTAAAATGGAACAGACCTTCCACAATATCTCATAAGTAAAACAATATATAATTAAAGTTGCCAGATTACAAGATAGAAGCTTCTGAACTCCATGAATTAGGTGCAAAATTACTAATCTTTCTGCTCCCTGCCACTCAGTAAATGGCACAATTATTTTAACTCCAAAAGTAATACAATCACCTCAGTAGGACTACTTTAAACTGATCCACACTTTACATGTTACATGGCATGAAGCAGACAGGGAGTCCAGTTTAGCATGCGGGGATTAAGGCTAAACACAGTTGGAAGCACTCTTATCAGAGATGACAAGAACCAGAAGTTGGTTAGTTAATGGGAACAAGTTTGTTAGATAACAAACAATTTTTAAAAAAAAAAGGTATTCCCTAACATTTTGTATTAACTGACAGACAAATCTACTTTTAATTACGGTTTTTTTGATATGAGGCCATGGGTCTTCTTTCTGAGCTTAAGTCTCTGAACGTTCTGTTGTTCTACATTATGCTGTTTTGATTGTTGGGGAAGTCTGGGCATAACTGAAGTTTGGTTCTTAAAAGGGAATCACTTGCAAAGCAATGTGTGTGGACAGTCCTTTCAGATTTTCCCAAACATCTTAAAAATGTCTGGCCCACATTTTTTTTTGAATGGAGTCTCACTCTTTTGCCCAGGCTGGAACGCAGTGGCAGGATCTCAGCTCACTGCAACCTCCGCCTCCCAGGTTCAAGCGGCTCACTGCAACCTCCGCCTCCCAGGTTCAAGCGGCTCACCGCAACCTCCGCCTCCTGGGTTCAAGTAATTCTGCTGCCTCAGCCTCCCGAGTAGCTGGGATTACAGGCATGCGCCACCATGCCCGGGTAATTTTTGTATTTTTAGTAGAGACGGGGTTTCACCATGTTGGTCAGGCTGGGCTTGAACTCCTGACCCTCATGATCCGCCCACCTCAGCCTCCCAAAGTGCTGGGATTACAGGCATGAGCCACCACGCTCTTTTTCACACTGTTTCAAGGTTGACATAATACTTAACTGTAATTACAATAATAAGCCCAACTGGAATAACCAGATTTGGGAACAAACAACTGACACTTGGCAAGACTTCTGGGTGAAAGCCAAAGGGGACAGAGGTACATCCCAGAGGTGGCCAGGACCTGTATCCTGGGATATCAGTCAGGACATACTGCAGCCAACAGGGCAAGCAGGATGGGTAGACAAAAGGTGGTTAGTAGAGCTGCTACTACTGTAATCCTGGGGGAGACGTGGACCAGTAACATCAGGATGATCAGAGCAATGCAGCCAGAATTCAGACAATGTCAGGAGTGTGAGTCCTCACACCATCATGAGCAAGGGCAAACCACTAGCTTAAAAATGTTCAGCTGGCTGGGTGCAGTGGCTCACGCCTGTAATCCCAGCACTTTGGGAGGCCAAGGCGGGCAGATCACCTGAGGTCAGGAGTTCAAGACCAGCTAGGCCAATATGGTGAAATGAAACTCCATCTCTACTAAAATACAAAAATTAGCCGGACATGATAGGGGGTGCCTGTAATCCCACCTACTCGGGAGGCTGAGACAGGAGAATCGATTGAACCCGGAAGACAGTGGTTGCAGTGAGGAACCACTGCGTTCCAGCCTGGGTGGCTGAGCAAGACCCTGTCTCAAAAAAAAAAGGAAACAAAAAAACAAATGCTCTCTAGGTTAGCCTTCACCAAGTGTTTTAACGAACTACGCTTTTAATATGACATTCTCGTGTCTTCTCTGAAAAAAAAAAAAAAGTTCCATTTTGAAGGTAACAGACACCAATTATATACTCCAAAAGATTGTCTTGTTCTGAAGGAGGAAAGTTTAACATTTGGAGTACGGTATATATTAACACTGGAGTTATTTCCAAGGCACTTGGAAGTGCGTCAATAGCCTTCAGCCCAGCAACAGGGACTGGTTTAACCCACTATGAGGAAACAGGCATTACCGAGTACCAAATAATTCTAGTTGTCTATTTGGGCCAGTGGCTACAGGGACACACAAGTTAGGTATTAGCCTACTGTAAAATAATATAACCTGGATAATAAACCAAGTTGGATTACTTGTCGACATAATTTTTCTTTCAAATTTTAGTGACACTTTGGACTTCATTGTGTCTTCCTTCCATACTGTCCCTGTACAGTGATAGGAGCTAAACTGCCACTGCCCTGCACCTAAGTAACACAGAGCAAGATTTTCCACTACTAGAAACAAGTAACTGAAAAGCCACGTAAACATCCCAGGAAAGAAAAAATACAGCAATAAAATAACGTGCAAATTTCCCCACCACCCCACCAACTGTAAAATAACGTGACTGAACAATTTGTGATGAATAAGTTTTAAAACAAAAAACCTCATAAATCCAACCACTGTATATTTTGTGTTCTTCCTACTTTTTTCTTTGTAATTTTACGTAGTTGTAATTATAGTAAATCCTTTTGAAGCTTATAACAAAAACTTTTTCCAATTTTTAAATCATACACTTTCAAATCAGAAAATTAGATACTTAAAACTTACAGCCTAGTGGTACAAATTCTGCTTGAGCTGTCCTAGAAAATCAAACTGGCAATTTGTTTTCATGCTAACTACAGGAATTACTATCTTCATAAGGCAGAGATTCTCTATTTCAAACTGATACCTGATCAAATAGTGGTGAAGCCCCAGTATCCTATCTGTTATTCTCCCTAGGAATAACCAGGCAGTGGAATGATGGAAACGGCAGAAAATATCTCTAGAGCAAAACATGCAACTGTTTTTATTGTCCAAGTCGATTGGGGCTTTCAAAGGCAAATGTTTTCAGTTATTTAAGGTATTGCAGTGGGAGTCGTGCTCAACACAATTAAGACAGGATTACACTGCAACTTATGAGTTTCTCAAGGACATCATTTATTACGAAATATAACAATCATTTCTCCCAAAGCCTACTATCGACAATCGCACCCCCAACTCTGCTTTGCTAAGGTAATAAACTAAATGGCAACTCAGCAGGCATCCCGGGCTTTTGAGACCAATTGTGGGAAACGTGCTGCCTTCCACCAGCTCAAGTAATAATGCCACCTTACTTATAAAGAGGCATACTGTTTTACATCTTCCATGCACATGATCTTTTCAGTGACTTAGTTAAGTGGCAATGGCAGGTATTTTTCCATTTTACAAAAGAGAAAACAGAACGCCAGCCTCTGGTTTCCCTGCTCAGAAGAACTAAGCCCAGAGCACCTTGAGACTTAAAGGAGTCCTGTGCTCTTCTCAGTACATTTATCAATGACAAGTCTTCCTTTGGTCCAGCCCCCCAAAATAACAGTCAGTAGGTACAGAGCCGGCACAGCAAAGGAAAGCCCCCCCACCGTAGTACCACAAAGCTTCCAGAAAGAGCAACAGTTGCTGCTGTGCAGCATCATCATGAAAGGCATCCGGCCACATCCTGCTGAAGCACCCCTAACACGACTTCAAGTGACAAGGTGGCCAAATCCACAACGCGGTCCTCCAACAAAGCACAGCTTTCCCTGAATACTTTCATTTCTTTACATAAGCACTGGAGAGGGGACACATGCACCACGCTAGTAATGCAACACCATCAGGAGACCTGGAACAGAGGAAGTGAAAACATTCCTGCAGAAAGGAGGCGCCTCCTCCCCGCTCCCCGCTTCCCAAGTGGCATCAGAACAGGGTCCAGTGGCACTCCTTTGGGGACCTACGGCTCCCCGGCCCTCACCTGGTGGGAAGCGCGACGCTCCGGAGCGGAAGGCAGAGGCCGAGCGCATCTTCCTCCTCTTCCTCCTCCCACGCCGCAGCCCGGCTCTGCGGCAGCCCCCGCCCCCGCCCAGCTCCCTCCTCCCCCCGCCGCCCCGCCGCGCCTGGAGCCTCCCGCCCGACTTTTGACGTCACGGAGGAGGAGGGGAAGGTTCCACCCGAGCCCGTCCCTTTGTGACGTCACAATGACAACAGAGTGCGGCCGGGAGCGTCGGGGAACCGAGCGCCGCGGGGGGCGGAGGGAGGGAAGAAGGGCTGGGGCGCCGGCGCGCGGCGGGGGAAGAACCGGGGGGCGGAGAGGGGGCGCGCTGACGTCTCGCCGGCTTAACCTGTTGCTCTCGAGACTGCGTCGGAGCCCGCAGGCAGGGCCGCGGGAAGCCGGCCGGGCCGCCGCCGCCATGCTCGGCCGTGTGCGCGGTGGGGGGCGCCCGCTGCAGCTGTGCGCCGCGCGCCCCCTCCCCGGCACGCCCACGCCCCCGCCCCCGCTCCCACCCCCTCCCCGCGCGCTCTCCCCTCCCCGCGCCCCGCAGGCCGCGCCACCCCCGCGCCCCACCCGCCCTCCTGCCCGCCTGCAAGCCGGCCCGGGTAGACCGGTGCCCGCCTCGCGCGCCCGCCTAGAGCCCGGAGTATGCCCCCTATAGGCCGCGCGCGCGCGCCCGCCCGCCCAGCCCCGGCCCAGCCTGCCGCGACCCCCGCGGGCCGTCCCTTTCGCAGCCGGCTCGAGGACGTCGGGAACACCGGCTCTGCTCCCGGTGCATTAACTCGTGCCGTGCCTCCCGCAGCCGCCGCCAGCCACGGGCTTGCAGCCGGACGCCCGGACTCGGAGACACGATCCGCTGAACGCCCGCAATAAGAAAGAAAACCCACCCCACGCTGCTCTCCACCTCAACGAGGTCCGGAATGGGAGGCGGGGTGCGGTTCTCGTCCAAGTTCTACCCCATTTGCTTTGTGGCTGCATCCGAAACGGACGTGCCCCGGGAAGGCGTCCACGCTCCAAGACAAGGTTGCCTCAGTGCAGTTTCTACAGCCCGAGTTTAAACTAGTCCTTTGCATTCTACCCAGCCCTCTGCAATGCGGATGTATTTTAATTCTTAAATTCTTTATGGAACAGCTTTCTAAGTTGGGCTTGATTATTTAACCTTGCATTTCTTTCATAGTTGAAGTTGACGTGTCTAGATAAGGATCAGCTCTCTTGAAGAGGCATTCAGCTTTTCCATTAAATATATTTTTTTACAAAACCAGTGCCCCGAAGGTCATCTCTCATTACACACACCACAATGATCAAAAAGGGAAAATATTAACACCAATTTGTCTACCCAACTTAAATAAACTTTCCTCTTACGTTGCATTATTCCTAAGGTATGTTCATTTGGCCTTTTTTGAAAAAAAAAAAGAGTTATTTAATTTAAAGCATGCAGCTAATCACAGATCACTCGAGTGCATATTTGGTTAATCCCTCGGTCCCCCTTTCCTCCCTCCCCTCAAACTTAAAAAAAAAAAAAAGCCACCACACACAAAACAAAAACACTCCCCATGCCAATCAAAACGTAGCTGTACTATGCACAAAACAAATTTAACTATTCCAAGCCATTTAAATCTAGGAATAATCACCCAATTTCAGAAGCCCAGTTAACAGGGAGAAATTATTTGTAGTTACTTACATATGCATTCACGTACACACTTAAAAACATTAGCCATAGTGTGTGTCCTTTTCCCCTACAACTGGAAACCATGAATTTTTTAAACAAAACCAGCCTCATTATTAAAGTCAATCCCAACAAATGCATTCGCTGTAACATGATTCCCAACTGGTTTATGTTGCAAACCAGATAAGCCAAAACGACCACAGACATTAAATTTGATGTGCCAGTGCAAAGAGAAGATCGCCATAATCGGACCCTCGATCGCAACTTAAAGGGCTTCCAACACACATGCGTTACACGATTTTTCCAAATAACATTAATAATAATAACACAGGCTCATTTGCATGCAAAGTGCAATACGGGGCCAAATCCGCTTGAGAATGCAGTTTAGTTACATTACCGCAGCCACCCCCCACCTCAAGCTCCACCAAAATCCCTTGCCTTTCATCTAAAAGTAGATTATGGTTGTGTCATTCGAGGTCAATTTATTCACTTGAGGTATCTCTACACCAGTCTGTTTTTTCAACCAAACTAGGCAGACACCACTTTGCTTGAAAAGCCCTCTTTCAGAAAAAAAAGAAACAGCCTTATCGGACGCTGTGTTTAAAACCCTTCAGAGGCAGAATTATCTATAAACTTGACATTCACAGCCATTGCTTAAAACTGCAAGTCAAAGGATGTGTTGTTAGGAGCACTTACGTATTTCTTCTGAATGATATTCCTCTTGGGTCTTTCCTTGCTCATTCTGAGATCCAAATGCTGATTGCAAAAGGGGACAATTGCTTCATGAATTTAAAGCCGTCAGAAATTTGCAAAAAAATATCCTGGTGGTTTTTATTGTTGTTGGTGGTGGTTGATCTTGTAATCCGACTTTTCTTCCTCTTCCCCCAAAGCCAGATTCGCCTTGAAATAAATCCGAAATTGGGAAGGAAAAAAAAAGAGCCAAAGACGAACGAAGCAAACAAAAAAAAATTCACTTTAGTAAAACACTCATAATGGAAAATTTCCCCCGAAACACATACACACACACACAAAAAAAAACCGACGCCCTTCACTCCCCCCCCTTTTTCCTCCAAAAACTACATCAGCGAAACGTGAAGGTCCTTAGTGTCTGATCCGTAGTTACATCTTGGAAAAGAAAAGGGAAAGATAAATAAAAAATGTTGGAAGTCACGTTTGTGCTGCAGCAGCAGTGCGAGCAGAAGAGTCAACTCCAGCGGCGGCGGCGGCGGCGGCGGCAGCACCACAGCGAGGGCTCGCCGAGTCTCTTTTTTCCAAGCCCCCTAACCAATGAGAGAGAGGCTATCCAGCCCAACTTTAAATGGACTCTGCTTTTATACAAGTTAGGGCTCCTCGGATAATTCCCCGCCGGGCGCCAGCCGAAAACTCCCACCGCTCAGCCGCCAGGCGCCCGCTTAGCCTGGTGCCGACCGCCCCTGGCCCAGTCCAGGGCACCCCCGCAGCCTGGCCAACCAGACACCCGAGCGACCTCGACGAACCCCTCCCAGGCAAGCCCTCGGGCGTCGCTCCCACGCCGAGCCCAGGCGTGGAATTGAGAGAGGCTCCCTAGCTCAATGCATGGCACGCTCCGTCGCTCCACCTCACCCCCTTTCCCCTGCCTGCCGCTCACCCCACGGCCGCCCCACGCCAGCCCCCGCCACTGCCTTCGCGTCTACCTGCAGCCGGGCTGCTGGGTAGGAGTGCCCCAGGACGCCCGGCCCCGGGGAGAGCCGCCTATTCCCGGGGCACCTTAGAATGGTCCCCTTGATCTTCTGGAAGTTGTAGTCCCCCGACTACAAAATGGCTATGGCCACGGAAGCTGGGAACTACAATTCCCAGCCTGCCCCGCAAAGCCTGTCACTCAACTCCCCTCCCTCCTCCTCGCCCCCTCCCCCTCACTGGCCGTGCCAACAAACGCTTGGACGTGTCCCGCGTGCGACACTGCTAGAGGCTGGCTCGGGATTGGCCCGCGGAGCGTGTGGTCCGCGAGCGAGGAACTCCCCACGCCGGCCCTCCTCCGCCCCCCGGGCCCCGGCCCCCCTCCCCTGGCGGCCGCCAGCCCCCTCCCCGCGCGCCCCGCCCCCACCCGCGGCGCGAACCGCCTGTGGAATCGAGGAATCGCGCGCGTGCGGCCCGGAGCCGCGGGGGAGGGACGCGAGGCTTCCCCGGGGAAGGCCTCGGAGCGTGGCGGTGAGGGGGGCGGTGTCAGGGAGGGGTTGGAGCCCGTCCTAAGGAAAACTGGGCCACGCACCAAGAGGAATCCTCGGTGCGAACTAGTTGATCGGCGGCGCCTGCTGCTTGTGCCGTGCAGCCGGTGTCACCTCAGGACAGCGCCTCGCGTCTGTGTACAGAGCGTGCTGCGGGCGCCTAGGGTAGTCCGAGGTCACCCCTCTCCGCGCCCCGCAGTCGCGCACGCCCCCACGCGCGGGGTGGGCGGTGGCCGGGGGTCGCCGAGTGGAAAGGCCACGCCCCCCCACGCCCGGGCTCGGCACGCTGCCCCTGGGTCGCGAACGCGCCTCCGCTCGACCCGCTTGGAGGACGTCGCTGGTGGCCCAGGAGTGAAGCCCCGGCGGCTGCCTCCTGAGAAAAGATAGCCGTGTTTAAAGAGACTGAACGGGATCTTTGCTTTGCCGGGCGTATTTTGTGATAAAATACCACAAAATGTTGAGACAAAAATGAGTGGAATATGGAGACCGAGCCGCACAGACACGCAATTGTAAGGAAACATCTCGAACACCGAGTGCCAGGAATATCAACTGTCCGGGCCACGCAAGAGCCTGCTTTTTACCTGCCTCCAGCCCCCTGTCGTGCTGGTTTAATCGCTGAAACAAATGAAGTAGCAGGCCCTGGCATAGCGCTTTGGGCCTTCGCCTTATTAACAACTTTGTCAAGTCTCGCATCGCGATTCTGCCTTGTTAATTTCCTTGTTTTTCGCTGTGGTTTTGGAGAAGCAATGTTTTCCATGATCTCTCAGGCTAGCCTCGGAATAAAACGTGGCAGAAGCGCTCCCGCGAACACATACCCATATATTTTATTCTACCTATTCCCTAGAGTCTGCTAACTTCAAAAGTCTAGATACTCACACAGCTGTTTACTTGCAGCAGTATTTGAAGAGATAACCTTGGTGTCTAGAAAGGTCTCAGAAACTGGAGGTAAGAGACCTGGATTCAAATCGCGCCTTGGCCACTTCCCAAAAGGCAACCGAGAGCCTCTCTGAGCTTGTCAGTTTCCGCATCTGCAAATTAGTGGTGATCAAACCTGTGGGGATGATTATGTGATAAATAACAGTAACCTAGTTTAAAACTAGGCACGTTATTGGAAGCTTTCAGTAAACGAAATAAAAAGCCTTTTCGAGAGGGTATTTTCCTTATTATTTTTACCTTTTCAAAAAATCTGAAATGAAATAATTTTATCTAATGTTCACTTCACAATTGGAAAAATAAATGATCTTTTGTGCCCTGAATACTGCAAAACTTGTACGCTGGTGCCATTTCCTGGGAAGGATCCAATGGGGCAGACTACAGTAGGGCCACCCAAGGTGTTTTCTAAAAACTTTCTGATCATTAGGACTGGCATACTGGGAATCTCCACGTCTCCACGTTGTTAAGATTTTAACCAGCTTTCTGTAAGTTTAACGCAGATACCTCATTCCCTAGGCAAATATTAATGAACAAAGGTGAGTTTCTTTTCTGTTCCCCTAACTAGCCCTGGGGCCTGGACTTCTCAGTCCTGGGCTTGCGAACTCCCCTGCCAGGCTACCAGCTCCAGGTCACCTGGTGTGAAAAACTATTGTGTAAAGTTGAGGCCTCAGGGCAGAGGGGAAAGGAAGGAATTTGCTCATTTCCAAAAGATTTGAATAATATTAGTGTTGTTTTCCCTGAAAGAGAAAAAAGGTTGGCCTTCTTAGTGGTTGAAAGATTTTCCTGTTGTGAAAGTAACCTACTCCTAATGAACTTCCTTCCCCTACCATCTTGGCAAGACCATCCAAGGCTTTTCTTGCTCCTTCCTCCTCTTTTTCATTTTCTGTAAGTCAAATGCAGCTTTTCTTATGATGATTTTCACATCTCAAAGCCTTGACCTCTTCAATTGGAGGGGCAGGGATGAGAACATGTCTAGGTACATTGATTGTATTAGACTCTATGCCAGCACTGTCCTCATCCCTGAGGACACAGGAAGCTCACAGCTCAGTAAAAAAAAAAAAAAAAAAAAGGCAGAGTTTACAATGGATTGTGATACCTCCAAAAAGTACTATATCAGCAATGTAGAAAAGAAGCTAAAAAGAACACATTGCTGAGATGACTAGGTGTTAAGGAGTTTTGAAGTAGGTGTAGGGGTTCACATACATACTTAAAGAAGTGCATATTTCACCCCTTTGCATTGCATCCTATTTGTTTACATTCTCCACTTTTAATGTTTCTAGTTCTTCTCTCCAAGTAAAAAGGAAATTCCCTAAAGAGATGATGTTGTCTACTTCTCATACCCTCCAAAGCTCCAAAAACTTCATCAAATTTGAAAGATGTCCAGTAAATGCTTACTGTTGAATATTTCACCAAAACTATAATGCCCAACTATTTAGACTATTGCCCAACATTTAGTCTCCTACCATCATCTTCCATTCCATTCTGGAACTCTGCTAGTTTTCCTCTTGCATTATCTAAATCCAATGTAGTGTTATACGTTCTTCAAGGCCCCAAATTCAGGCCCATTTCCAATCCAGCCTCGCTGCTTGGCCTACTCATTCCTGGATTCTCATTGCCCTTCCTATTTTGGCAATAATTTTTGAGCTTTAAAATTTTATTCTGAGGCCGAATGTGGTGACTCACATCTGTAATCCCAGCACTTTGGAAGGCCGAGGCAAAAGGATCACTTGAGCTCTGGAGTTTGAGACCAGCCTGGGTAACATGGTGAAACCCTATCTCTACCAAAAAAAAAAAAAAAATTAGCTGGACGTGGTGGCCCAGGCATGGTAGTGTGCACCTGTAGTCCCAGTTACTTGGGAGGCTTAGGTGGGAGGATGGCTTGAGCGGGAGGCTGAGGTTGCAGTGAGCTGACATTGCACCATTACACTCCAACCTGGGTGACAGAGAAAGACCCTGTCAAAAACAAACAAAAAAAAATTGTTCTCTGTTGTATTTTTTTCTGATTATGTCATGTAAGTATCTTGTATCTCTTAATTGAAAATTGGATGGGGCCATGATTTGTCTCATATTGAGGCAGCCATTGGCAATGAGGGAATCAGATGTTTCTAATATTAAGTCTCTGAGTGACCATATGCCATTCACCTGCCTCATATAGGCCTTGGGTCTGTCATTTATAAAATGAGCAGGTTAGGCTGGGTGTGGTGGTTCACACCTCTAATCCTAGCACTTTGGAAAGCCAAAGCGGAAGGATTGCTTGAGCCCAAGAGCTCAAGACCAGCCTGGGTAACATAGCCAGACACCATCTCTACAAACATAAAATTAAAAATTAGAGGGTTAAATTCAGTTATTTCCCAAAGACATTTCTACACCCAACATTCTCTAGTCCTACCTTTACCTTTGTATTATGCTGCTTTTCCCCCTCAGTGCTGGCCCCTAAGTAAACTCAAATCCACAATCATTCAGTAAAAGTTGCTAGGTTAAGTTTCTTTACACTTGTATGTTATTAATTTCCAAAAAGACCTCATATTTATCCGAGCTATCTAATGATAGCTTTCATTTGTATAACTTTAATAGTGTTTAAAGCACACTGTCATAATAATTTCATTTAAACCATAAAACAACTTAGATCAAGACAGGTATTACTGTCCTCACTCTTCAAATGTGAAAATGAAATATTAAGAGGTTGTGATTTGCTCAAAGTCATACAACCAGTTGAGTGGATGAGCCAAGGGTCAAACTCAGGACTCTCGGCTCCACATACCCAGTGCAGGCCACCTCCCTGGTTTTCCAAAATGGGATTCAAGACATATGATTCCATGAAATGTTACTAGGTGGGACTGAAAAGAAAATAATTCTTCGATGAAATAAATTTGCAGACTGCTACCTTATAATAAAGATAACTCGATTACTTTACTGTAGGGTTTTTAGAAATCCCCAAAGGGGCATGTAGTTTTACAAACTAATTTGATCACAGAAATCTTTTTTTAAGAAAGAGCTGGACCTGGCCAGGCACGGTGGTTCACGCCTGTAATCCCAGCAATTTGGGAGGCCGAGGTGGGTGGATCACCTAAGGTTGGGAGTTCCAGACCAGCTTGACCAACATGGAGAAACCCTGTCTCTACTAAAAATACAAAATTAGCTGGGCGTGGTGGCACATGCCTGTAATCCCAGCTACTCTGGAGGCTGAGGCACGAGAATCGCTTGAATCCGGGAGGTGGAGGTTGCGGTGAGCCGAGATCCTGCCATTGCACTCCAGCCTGGGCAACAAGAGCAAAACTCTGTCTCAAAAAAGAAAGAAAGAAAGAGCTGGGCCGGGTGTGGTGGCTCACACCTGTAATCCCAGCACTTTGGGAGGCAGAGGCGGGCAGATCATGCAGTCAGGAGTTCGAGACCAGCCTGGCCAAGACGGTGAGACCCCGTCTCTACTAAAAATACAAAAAATTAGCTGGGTATAGTGGTGCACGCCTGTAATCCCAGCTACTCAGGAGGCTCAGGCAGGAGAATCGCTTGAACCTGGGAGGTGGAGGTTGCAGTGAGCCGAGATCATGCACTCCATCCAACCTGGGCAACAGAGCGAGACTCTGTCTCGAAAAATAAAAAAATTTAAAAAAACAGACCTTTTAAGTCCAGCCCCCAGCCCTCATTGCTTTTCCTAAATTGCCTCAGAACACCAAGGAAAAAAAAAGAAGAAGAAAGAGCTGGTTACCACGGAACAGTTTTACAGACATGCTTCACCCAATATGATGAATTTATGCTTCATAAATGATTGCTGACTGACAATAATTCCTACCTAAGTGACTGAATACCTTATGTGAAGTTTCTAATTTTATATAGGTCTATCTTCATATGTGAGGGAGTAAGGAGAGGGATGTAAAAATAATATTTGAGTGACATCAGGTTTATAAATAACTATGAACCAGTGTACTCAGAAGGTGGGGGCTTCCATTGAAAGAACATAGAACAGCTATTTCGAGCCAACTGAGATTTGCAAGAGTATTTTAAAACACACTAGGAGGTAAACTCAGATGTAAACAGCCCTCTTAAGAGTGAGTGATGTCAAGGAGACATTAGTTCTTTTTGTTATTCAGTGCTTCCTGTCCCCAAATTACAGTCTTATTTGTCAAGCCTCAATAAAATGCCACAGCACAAACCAAATACAATAAAATGATGCTTTCAACCCTACTGGTCGTCTGTGGACCTTGTTTATACAAGTCACTGAAAGTCGCTGGTACTTTGGATTGTGTAAAAATTTTGGACTATCATTACTATTCTGCTTAGATTGTCTTGTGTTATTGAAAGAGAGCTGGCCCTGATTCAGAAACTCTGGTAAAGCAGCCAAGACGGGAAACCTGCAGTTCCTAAGAATAGACGTTACTGTTTATAATAATACTGCACTCTGTGTTTGGTGGGAAAAATCAACTTTATCAGTGATCAACTAATCCACAGGGGATCAGTATGAGGAAACTGAGGTATAGGGATTACAGGGATCCTGTGAGTAGGCAGGGAAAGGGGGAGGAGCTGTATGAATCAGGATGCCTTCAGTTGCAGGTGAATGGAGCCCAGATGAAAATGGCTTATGGAAAAAAAGGAAGAGGGGCTTGGCTCACCTATCTGGAAACCCAGAGTCCGAGTTTCAGGGCTACAAAGGATGTCATCGTCCTTCCTTCATTCCTTCATTCTCTTTTTCTCTCCATTCATCTCAGCATTTCCTTCTTCTGTCATCCTCTCCAACCAGCAGAGATGATAGCGCCAAAGAAAACTCCTTTGCGGCCAGGCACAGTGGCTCATGCCTGTAATCCCAACACTTTGGGAGGCCGAGGCGGGCGGATCACTTGAGCCCAGGAGTTCGACACCAGCCTGGTCAACAGGGCAAAACCCCTCTCTACTAAAAATACAAAAATTAGCCTGGCATGGTGGCACGTGCCTGTAATCCCAGTTACTGAGGAGGCTGAGGTGGGAGGATCGCTTAGCCCAGGAGACAGAGGTTGCATGGAGCCGAGATCCCGCCACTGCACTCCAGCCTGGGCAACAGAACGAGACTGTTTCAAAAAACAAAAAAGAAAACTCCTTTCCCACCATGGACATGGCGGGTAGAGCAGATTTTGTTATCCAAAGGGGAGGGAGACAAACACTCCAGGGAGCAAAAAAGAAAAAAAAAAAAAAAAAATATATATATATATATATATATAGTCTACCACAGAAGCTACTAGTTCTTCCCTCTGTCAGGGCCACAGAAGTGAGCAGGAAAGGAGAAAATAACCTTTTCACCATCAGAATCCTAGAGATTCATTGGATGATAGACCAGTCCAGCTCAGTCTAGAGCTACTCTCTCATTTACCCCACCTTGCACACTTCAAGGTTTTCACAGACATGATCCCTGCCTAAATACTGGTTGATCTACGTATCAAACACTTTTGCCCATAGTTTCTTATCTATGAATCTATAGAATTTTCTAAACAAAAACAGAGCTTATCTCTTGCCAAATTGGGACATCTACAATTTATATTCTGTTTTCTGAAATCTCAGTGTTTCCAAAACCCAAGATTCACTCACACCTTACAGAAACCCAGTGCCATCTCCCTTTCCGATCCTACACACAGACACATAGAGTGAAACAGAAAAGATTCAAACATTGGCAGTTACATTGTGACTGAAACTTAGTGGATTATTAATTTCCTGCTTTTGGTCTTTCTCTCAATTGTCAAACATTCATTTTAAAAAAAAAATATTTTGGCCAGGCACGATGGCTCATGCCTGTAATCCCAATACTTTGGGAGGCCGAGGCGGGTGGATCACGAGGTTAGGAGATTGAGACCATCCTGGCCAACGTGGTGAAACCCCGTCTCTACTAAAAATACAAAAAGTAGCTGGATGTGGCGGCATGTGCCTGTAATCCCAGCTACTCAGGAGGCTGAGGCAGGAGAATCTCTTGAACCCAGGAGACTGAGGTTGCAGTGAGCTGAGATCACACCACTGCACTCCAGCCTGGGCAACAGAGTGAGACTCCGTCTCAAAAAAAAAAAGTGTTTTGGCCAGCCTCGGTGGCTTATGCTTATAATCCTAGCACTTTGGGAGGCCGAAGCAGGCAGATCATCTGAGGTCAGGAGTTCGAGACCAACCTGACCAACATGGAGAAACCCCGTCTCTACTTAAAAATACAAAATTAGCCGGACGTGTTGGCGCATGCCTGTAATCCCAGCTACTTGGGAAGCTGAGGCAGGAGGACAGCTTGAACCCGGGAGGCAGAGGTTTTGGTGAGCCGAGATCGTGCCGTTGCGCTCCAGCCTGGGCAACAAGAGCGAAACTCCGTCTCAAAAAAAGAAAAAAAAAAAAAAAGACAGTGTTTTTATGTGTCCATGTGTACACGATTACGAAATTGAGGGTTCTCAAACAGTGTATGTTACCTAGAAAACTTTAGGCATTTATGATTCTAAACAAATACAAAGAGGAAAACTATAAAATCAATGTGGTTATTTAATACAATATGGCTACTGGGAAGATTATACTGGAAATCTAGACACTTGAGGTTTCATCTCAGCTTTTTGTGATGTCACTATGCCTCATTTTCTTCATTTGTGAAAAAAGGGGATTGACCTAGATGGACTCTAACACTCTTCCAAATCTAATAGATTATGACTGTGATATTATTTTATGTGTGTGATATTATTTTATGTGTGTATTAGTCTCCACCCCCCAAGGCTCAAGTGATCCTCCTACCTCAGCCTCCCAAGTAGCTGGGACTAGAGGTGTGCGCCATCACACCCAGCTACTTTTTGTATTTTTTGTAGAGATAAGGTTTCTACATGTTGGCCAGCCTGGTCTTGAACTCCTGAGCTCGAGCTCAAGGGATTCACTGGCCTTGGCCTCCCAAAGTGCTAGGATTACAGGTCTCAGCCACCTCGCCAGGCCTATTCCCATAGCCTTTGTTATAATCTCTTGTTATAATGTTGGGCTTGCTAGGTCTCAGGGACAGGCCTCAGGAAACAGTTGCTCTCTGACTTTCTCCTGCCTATTTTTTTTTTTTTTTTTTGAGATGGAGTTTCACTCTTGTTGCCCAGGCTAGAGCGCAATGGCTCCAAATCTTGGCTCACCACAACCTCCGCCTCCTGGGTTCAACCGATTCTCCTGCCTCAGCTTCCCAAGTAGCTGGATTACAGCCATGTGCTACCATGCCCGGCTAATTTTGTATTTTTAGTAGAGACGGGGTTTCTCCATTTTGGTCAGCCTGGTCTCGAACTCTCGAACTCTCGACCTCAGGTGATCCGCCCGCCTCAGCCTCCCGAAGTGCTGGGATTACAGGTGTGAACCACCGTGCCCGGCTTCTCCTGCCCTTCTTTCACCTGCCCCAGTGCAAGACACTAATCTGCTTTTCTTTTTTCTTTTTACTTTTTTGAGACAAGGTCTCACTCAGTTGCCCAGGCTGGAGTGTAGTTGTGTAATCATAGCTCCCTGTGGCCTGAAACTCCTGAGTTCAAGCAATCCTCCGGCCTTGGCCTCCCGAAATGCTAGGATTACTGGCATGAGCCACCTCGCCAGGGCTTCCCCCACCCCTCATCTTTCGGATTCTGGGTCTTAAAGGGTCCACCATATATACCCTAGGGGAAGGAATGCTGGATTCATGAAGCTTCCATAAAAATCCAAGAGGGTCCTGGCAAAGTGGCTTACACCTATAATCTCAACACTCCGGTAGACCTAGGCGGGAGGATCGCTTGAGGCCAGGAGTTTGAAACTAGCCCGGGCAACAGAGCAAGACCCAGTCTCTCAAAAAAAAAAAAAAAAAATTAGTCCGGGAGCAGTGGCTTATGCCTGTAATCATAACACTTTGGGAAGCCGAGGAAGGTAGATCACCTGAGGTCAGGAGTTCAAGACCAGCCTGGCCAACACGATGAAACCCCATCTCTACTAAAAATAAAAATACAAAAATTAGCCAGGCATGGTGGCTGGCACTATAATCCCAGCTACTCAGGAAGCTGAGGCAGGAGAATCACTTGAACCTGGGGGACACAGGTTGCAGGGAGCGGAGATTGTGCCATTGCACTCCAGCCTGGGTGACAGAGCGAAAGTCACTCTCAAAAAAAAAAAGAAATTAGCTAGGTGTGGTGGCGAGTACCTGTAGTACCAGCTACTTGGGAGGCTGAGGTAGGAGGATCACTTGAACTCAGAAGGTCAAGGCTGCAGTGCACTGTGATAGTGTCACTGAACTCCAGCCTGGGGGACAGAGAGAGGAGACCTTATCTCAGAAAATTTAAAAAACAAAACAAAACAAGAGGACTGGGTTCAGGGAGCTTCCATATAGCTGACCAAGTGGAGGTTCCTGGAGAGTGGCACACTGGGGAGTGCACGGATGCTCCACCCTCTCCGCCATGCCTTGCCCCACACATTTCTTCATCTGCATCCTTTGTAGTATCCTTTATAATAAGCTAGTAAATGTAAGTAATTGTTTCCCCGAGTTCTGTGAGCCCCTCTAGCAAATTAATCAAACCCAAGAGAGCGTCATGGGAACCCCACCCAACTCAAAGCTGGTTGGTCAGAAGTTCCACAGGCCCGGACTTACAAATGGTGTTGGGGATGAGTCTTGGGGACTGAGCCTTCAACCTGTGGGATCTGAGGCTATCCCCAGGTGGATAGTGTTGGAATTGAATCAAAGGACTCTCAGCTGGTGTCTGCTTCTTGGTGTATAGGGAAAACCTCCATTCATTTGGTCCCAGAAAACTTCTGTGTTGATGATTATTGTGGTGGTATGTGAGTAGGGGAAAAACAGTTTCCAAATTTTTCCCCAAATAATGACTATATTCAAAACATTTACAGCCTGGCACGGTGGCTCATGCCTGCAGTCCCAGCATTTTGGAAGGCCAAGGCAGGCATATCACCTGAGGTCAAGAGTTCGAGACCAGCCTGGCCAACATGGCGAAACTTCGTCTCTACTAAAAACACAAAAATTTGGACGTGCGCTGTGGCTCACGTAATCCCAGCACTTTCGGAGGCTGAGGCGGGCGGATCGTGAGGTCAGGAGATCGAGACCATCCTGGCTAACACGGTGAAACCCCATCTCTACTAAAAATACAAAAAAAAAATTAGCCGGGTGTGGTGGCGGGTGCCTGTAACCCCCGCTGCTCGGGAGGCTGAGGCAGGAGAATCACTTGGACCCGCGAGGCAGAGGTTGAAGTGAGCCCGTGATTGTGCCACTGCACTCCAGCCTGGATGACAGAGTGAGACTCCGTCTCAAAAAAAAAAAAAAAACACACACAAAAAAACAAAAATCAGTCGGGTGTGGTGGTACACACCTTTAGTCCCAGCTACCTGGAAGGCTGAGGCAGCAGAATCACTTGAACCCAGAAGGCAGATGTTGCAGTGAGCTGAGAACATACCATTGTACTCTAGCCTGGGCAACAGACAAAACAAAAAACAAAAAACAAAAACCTCCATCTCAAAAAAAAAAAAAAAGTATTAAACTTAGCCAGGCACAAAGGCACAATAGTCACAGCTACTTGGGAGCTGAGGCAGGAGGACTGATCAGTTGAGTCCAGAACTTTGAGGTTGCAGTGAGCTATGATCGCACCACTGCACTCCAGCCTGGGCAACAGAGCAAGACCCTAGCTCTAAAAAAACAAAAAAAGAAACCTCAAAAGAGACAGCCAGACAGACAGATATAAATAGGACACACATTGGTCACAGTTATGCTTTTGGCACTCTGAGTGTTTGAATTGATATTTTTGAAGGTGAGACCAGGGGCCCAGTTGATAGAGTTTGTATCTCCAAAGCATCCTTTGACCCAAAACAGGTAACCTGGAATTCTCTTATCCTAGAAGGCAAGAAAAACCAGAAGGAAGGAGCCACATTTTTGGAAGTTACTATAGAGCAGATCCTTGGAGATTGGAGATTTCGCAAGTCATGTCAGTATGCCTGGGACTGTCCCAGATTTTCCCAGGCCTCAGATGTAAGGGTCATATTCACATTACTTCTACTCTACATCTCCCCACTTACCCAGCAAAGTACCTGTCCCATAGGAGATAAATGCTTGTTAAATAAGTAAATGGGCCAGACCAGGTGGCTCATGCCTATAATCCCAGCACTTTGGGAGGCCAAGGTGGGAGAATCACTTGAAACCCGGAGTTCAAGACCAGCCTGGGTGCCGGGCGCAGTGGCTCACACCTGTAATCCCAGCACTTTGGGAGTCTGAGGCAGGCAGATCACCTGAGGTCAGGAGTTCTAGAGCAGCCTGACCAACATGGAGAAACCCCGTCTCTACTGAAAATACAAAATTAGCTGGGTGTGGTGGCGCATGCCTGTAATCCCAGCTACTCCGGAGGCTGAGGTAGGAGAATTGATAGAATCCAGGAGGCGGAGGTTGCGGTGAGCTGAGATCGCGCCACTGCACTCCAGCCTGGGCAACAAGAGCAAAATTCTGTCTCAAAAAAAAAAAAAAAAAAAAAAACAAACAAACAAACAAAAAAAACCAGCCTGGGCAATGTAGTGAGGCCCCATGTCTTAAAAAAAAAAAAAAAAAAAAAAGTCCAGGTGCAGTGGCTCATGCCTGTAATCCCAGCACTATGGGGTGCTGAGGTGGGTGGATCATGAGGTCAGGAGTTCAAGACCAGCCTGGCCAAGATGGTGAAACCCCATCTCTACTAAAAATATAAAAATTAGCTGGGCATGGTGGCGGGCACCTGTAATCCCAGCTACTCCAGAGGCTGAGGCAGAGAATTGCTTGAACCTGGGAGGCGGAGGTTGCAGTGAACCGACATCATGCAGCACTGCACTCCAGCCTGGGCAACAGAGTGAGACTACATCTCAAAAAAAATAAATTAAGCAGGCTTGGTGGCTCATGCCTATAGTCCCAGCTATTCACGGAGCTAAGGTGGAAGGATCACCTGAGCCTAGAAAGTCAAGGCTGCAGTGAGCCACAATCATGCCATTACACTCCAGCCTGGATGACAGAGCAAGACCCTGTCTCAAAAAATAAATACATACATACATAAATACATAAATTGACATGTGATACTGCCATTTACCATTTTGTTCAAAAATCATTCTCTGCATCTGAGGTACCCTTTCAAATAGGCCAGCTACCAGCAAGGAGTTGCAATTATTGAGGAAGTGAAAATGGTTAACAAGTGGCATTTAAAATATCTCTATTTGGCTTTCCAGCCAGAACTCTTTGTGTGAACTATCCAAAGCGGATATAAAATACTTTTATGTTAGCCAGGCATGGCAGCATACACCCGTAGTTCTAGCTATTCAGGAGGTTGCACCAGAGGGTCCCTTGAGCCCAAGAGTTCGAATCCAGCCTCAGCAACAGACCCTAAAAAAACAAAAACTTGTTGGCCAGGCACAGTGGCTCACGCCTGTAATCCCAGCGCTTTAGGAGGCCTAGGTGGGCAGATCACGAGGTCAGGAGATGGAGACGATCCTGGCTAACATGGTGAAACCCTGCCTCTCCTAAAGATACAAAAAATTAGCTGGGCATGGTGGCATGCACCTGTAGTCCCAGCTACTCGGGAGGCTGAGGCAAGAGAATCCCTTGAACCCAGGAGGCGGAGGTATCAGTGAACTGAGATCACGCCACTCCACTCCAGCCTGGGTGACATAGTAAGACTCTGTCTCAAAAAAAAAAAAAATTATTTTTTGTAGAAACAGGTCTTGCTATATTGTCCAGGCTGGTCTCGAACTCCTGGGCTCAAACAGTCCTCTCACGTTGGCATCCCAAAGTTGGAGGATGGCAGACCTGAGCCACCATGCCCAGCTTTTCAAACATTTTCAATACAAAATGTGAATCTAAAATTCAAGATGAGGATAGATATATTCAGCTGACAAATGATACCTGTCTTCTGCTGTTGGATTGAATTGTTCCCCCCAAAAATTCGTATGTTGAAGTCATAGTCCCCAGTACCTCAGAATATGACTGACTTTGGAAATAGAGTCTGTAAAGAGGTAATTAAGTTAAAATGAGGTCATATGGGTGAGCTTCAACCTGAGATGACTGGTGTCCTTATAAGAGGAGTCGATTGAGTGCGGTGGCTCACATCTCTAATCTCAATGCTTTGGGAGGCAGACTGGGGAGGATCGCTTGAGCCCAGCAGTTTGAGACCAACCTAGGCAAATAGTGAGACCCCAATCTGTACAAAAAAATTAAAAATTAGCCCCACATGGCCGGGCGCGGTGGCTCATGCCTATAATCCCAGCACTTTGGGAGGCTGAGGCGGGTGGATTGCCTGAGCTCAGGAGTTCAAGACCAGCCTGATCAACATAGAGAAACGCTGTCTCTACTAAAAATACAAAATTAGCCAGATGTGGCAGCAGGTGCCTGTAAGGCAGCAGGTGCTGAGGCAGGAGAATTGCTTGAACCCGGGAGGTGGAGGTTGCTGTGAGCGGAGATTGTGCCCTTGCACTCCAGCCTGGGCAACAAGAGCAAAACTCTGTCTCAAAATAAAAAATTAACTCTACATTACAGTTGGCACACGCCTGTAATCCCAGCTACTTGGGAGGCTGAGGTGGAAGGATCGCTTGAGCCCAGAAGTGCAAGGCTGTAGTGAGCCATGATCACACCACTACACTCCAGCTTTGCTGTGACAGTGAGACCCTGTGTCCAAAAAAAAAAAAAAGGCCGGGCGCGGTGGCTCAAGCCTATAATTCCAGCACTTTGGGAGGCCGAGGCGGGCGGATCACGTGGTCAGGAGTTCAAGACCAGCCTGGCCAATATAGTGAAACACCGTCTCTACTAAAAATACAAATACAAAAATTAGCTGGGCATAGTGGAGCATGCCTGTAGTCCCAGCTACTCGGGAGGCTGAGGCAGGAGAATCACTTGAACCCGGGAGATGGAGGTTATGGTGAGCCGAGATTGCACCACTGCACTCCATGCTGGGAGACAGAGGGAGACTCCGCCTCAAAAAAAAAAAAAAAAAAAAGAGAGAGAGATTAAGACATAGACACGAAGAGGGAAGAGCTTATAAGGACACAGGAAGAAGACAGCCAGCTTTAGTGAAAGGGACAGGCTCTAAGAGAAACCAATCCTTCTGACACCTTGATCTCAGACTTACAGCTTCCAAAACTGTGAGGAAATAAATTTTTGTTGTTTAAGTCACCACATCAGCTAGGCGAAATGGCTCACACCTGAAATGCCAACACTTTGAGAGGCCGAGGTTAGAGGATCACTTGAGCTCAGGAGCTTGAGACCAGCCTGGGCAACATAGCAAGACCCCATCTCTACAAAAAATGTAAAAGTTATCTGGGCATGGTGGCACCTGTGGTCCCAGCTACTCAGGAGGCTGAGGCAGAAGGATTGCTTGAGCCTCAGAGTTTGAGGCTGCAGTGAGCTATGATTGTACCACCGCAATCCAGCCTGGGAGACATAGCAAGACTCAAATCTTTTTTTTGTTTTTTTTTTTTTTTTTTTGAGACGGAGTCTCACTCTATCGCCCAGGCTGGAGTGCAGTGGCACGATCTTGGCTCACTGCAACATACGCCTCCTGGGTTCACGCCATTCTCCTGCCTCAGCCTCCCAAGTAGCTGGGACTACAGGGGCCAACCACCACGCCCGGCTAATTTTTTTTTTTTTTTTTGTATTTTTTAGTAGAGATGGAGTTTCACCGTATTAGCCAGGATGGTCTCGATCTCCTGACCTCGTGATCCGCCCTCCTCGGCCTCCCAAAGTGCTGGGATTAGAGGCATGAGCCGCCATGCCCAGCTGTTCCCAAATCTTTTTTAAAAAGGTTTTTTTAGCCCCACATTTTAAAATAAAGAAGCAGACCAGGCACAGTGGCTCATGCCTGTAATCCCAGCACTTTGGGAGGCTGAGGTGAGTGGATCACTTAAGGTCAAGAGCTGGAGACCAGCCTGGCCAACATGGCAAAACCCCATCTCTACTGAAAATAGAAAAATTACCTGGGCCTGGTGGCATGCACCTGTAATCCCAGCTACTTGGGAAGCTGAGGCAGGAGAATCGCTTGAACCCGGGAGGTGGTGGTTGCAGTGAGCCGAGATCATGCCACTGTACTCCAGCCTGCCAACAGAGCAAGACTCCATCTAAAATTAATAATAAGTAAATATAATAAAAATATAAGTAAATATATAAAAATATAATAATAAGTAAAATAAAGAAGCAGCGAAGGTATTTCATTTTGCTGATTTAGTAGATGAGTTTATACTATATTTTAAAAGAACAACTCAAATTTTTATAACACTTGACAATAATTTGAAAAACCAACCATGAGCCATGCATGGTGGCACATGTCTGCCGTCCCAGCTACTCAGGAGGCTGAGACAAGAGGATTTCTTGAGCTCAGCTTGGGCAGCATAGAGAAAGTCTGACTCTAAAACTTTTTTATTTTTTTTTTGAGACAGGATCTCACTCTGTCACCCAAGCTAGGGTGCTGTGGTGAGCTCATGGCTCACTGCAGCCTGGATCTCCTGGGCTCTAGTGATCCTCACCTCACCCTCCAGAGTAGCTGGGACTACAGGTGCGTGCCACCATGTGTAGCTAATTTTTTTTTTTTTTTGAGACGGAGTCTCGCTCTGTCGCCCAGGCTGGAGTGCAGTGGTGCCATCTCAGCTCACTGCAAGCTCGGCCTCCCAGGTTCACGCCATTCTCCTGCCTCAGCCTCCCAAGTAGCTGGGACTATAGGCGCCTGCCACCTCTCCCGGCTAAGTCTTTGTATTTTTAGTAGAGACGGGGTTTCACCATGTTAGCCAGGATAGTCTCGATCTCCTGACTTCATGATCCGCCTGCCTCGGCCTCCCAAAGTGCTGGGATTACAAGCGTGAGTCACCGTGCCTGGCCTTTTGCTGTTGTTGTTGTTGTTGTTTTGTTTTTTTTTTGTTTGAGACAGAATCTCGCTCTGTCACCCAGGCTGGAGTGCAGTGGCACAATCTCGGCTCACAGCAACCTCTGCCTCACGGGTTCAAGCAATTCTCCTGCTTCAGCCTCCTGAGTAAGTGGGATTACAGGTGCCGGCCACCACATCTGGCTAATTTTTCTATTTTTAGTACAGACTGGTTTCTCCATGTTGCCCAGGCTGGTTTTGCACTCCTGACCTCAAACGATCCACCAGCCTCAGCCTCCCAAAGTGCTGGGATTAAATTAGCCTGGCATGGTGGTGTGCGCCTGTAATCCCAGCTACTTGGGATGCTGAGGCAGGAGAATTGCTTGAACCTGGGAGGTGGCAATTGCAGTGAGCCGAGATCGCGACACTGCACTCCAGCCTGGGCAACAGGAGTGAGACTCCATCTCAAACAAAACAAAACAAAACAAAACAAAGTGTTGGGATTACAGGCATGAGCCACCATGCCCAGCCTAATGTTTTAATTTTTTTTGTAGAGATGGAGTCTTGCTATGTTGACCAGGCTGGTCTCAAACTTCTGGGCTCAAGTGATTCTCCTGCATCAACCTCCCAAAGTGCTGGGATTACAGGTGTGAACCACTGTACCAGGCCTGTAAAAAAAATTTTAAAAGCAAACAGCCTAGTTTTGATTTGCTAGGAACTTTCTGGTATTAGCACTGAAAGCCCTACATTCCAGAAATTTCAGTCCTGGGCATACCAGTGAGGTTAGTCACCGTAGCTTGGAAAGACATTTGAGACTGCAAGTTGCATGAGGGCAAAGCCTTTGTTTCATTCTTTTCTCTTTTTTTTTGAAACAGAGTCTCATTCTGTCGCCCAGGCTGGAATGCAGTGGCGCGATCTGGGCTCACTGCAACCTCCGCCTCCCAGGTTCAAGAGTTTATTTTGCCTCGGCCTCCCGAGTAGCTGGGATTACAGGTGCATACTCCCACACCTGGCTAATTTTCATACTTTTAGTAGAAATGGTTTCACCAGGTTGGCCAGGCTGGTCTCAAACTCCTGACCTCAGGTGATCCACCTGCCTCGGCCTCCCAGGGTGCTCAGATTACAGGCGCCACTGTGCCGGCCTCTTTGTTCCATTCTTGGCTGTGCATCCAATGAAGGGCAGAACAAGCTCTCAATAAATATTTTCAGAATGACTGAATCAATCAATGTCCTCTGAAATAAGGCTGCTGTCTTCATACCCATTTCTCTGAACACTTGGAAGCAAAGGCACATAAATTACAGTTACCAAGTGCCGTCCCTGCCATGCATTCGGACTCTGATCCAAAGTGGTGAGTTTACAGACATGAGCCACCACACCCAGCCCCTGCATCTGATCTCTGATCCACCAAGAAGACTTTCTCCACCTGAGTTACCTTTCCAGGACTCCCAGGAAATTCTTTCAATTCTTGGTCACTCTTAACCAAAAGCGTAACTCCCACCTTAGACCTGGAGGCGAATCCTTAAAAGCTGTGATTTTAAAGCCAGCTGTAGTGGAGAGTCGGGGTGGGGGGGTGGCACAACTTCCAAAATCCAAGGTTAATAGGCTGTGAATTGCCACTTTCTTTGCTCATTGTCTGTGCTTCAACAGTTCCTTTAACCTACTGTCATTCAGCTTGGGGAGGAGAAGAAAGTAGGAATGGCACCAGCTGCAAGGGAGAGGCTGACAACAATGCTCTCCCCTCCCCTCGCCCCCCACTCCCACCCCGCTTGTCCCCCCAAAGCACCAGGCATTCAGTTATACAGTATATATTTATACAGCCTACCCAATGCGAATTCAAATTTATTTCCAAGTCATTAGGGCCAATTACTCACCTTTGGGCCCTGTAATATCATTTGTTTCCTGCCAAACCGAATGTTTTTCCTGTCGCAAATATGATAAATCCTGCATAGTGACGTTCAATCATGTTTAAACTGATTCAGATTGTGGTAGGAATTGGGTTGTATGCATGGATGGACTAAGTCATGAAATGTAGACCTCATGGATGATTATTTTAATTTGAGAATAATTCAGTCCTATGGAGGAGAATTGGCTTACTCAGAAGGTCCTACTATGAATACCGGTACTACTTATTTCCATTAATTTGGCCACGACTTGAAAGAATGCAAATTTTTTTCCCTTATTTTTGCCATTAAGGACTCAATTTGCTTTCTTCTCTAGCTTTCAAAAATATATTGAATTCAGCCGGGCACAGGGGCTCACACCTGTAATCCCAGCACTTTGGGAGGCCAAGCAAGGTGGATCACCTGAGGTCAGGAGTTCGAGACCAGCGTGGCCAACATGGTAAAACCCTGTCTCTACTAAAAATACAAAATCAGCCAGGCATGGTGGCACATTCCTGTAATCCCAGCTACTTGGGAGTCTCAGGCAGGAAAATAGCTTGAATCCGGGAGGCAGAGGTTACAGTGAGCCAAGATCCTGCCATTGCACTCCAGCCTGAGCAAAAACTCCAACTCAAAAAAAAAAAAAAAAGGCTGGGCTTGGTGGCTCACACCTGTAATCCTAGCAATTTGGGAGGCCAAGGTGGATGGATCATTTGAGGTCAGGAGTTCGAGACTGGCCTGGCCAACATGGTGAAACCCTGTCTCTACTGAAATACAAAAATTAGCTGGGCATGGTGTTGCGCGCCTGTAATCCCAGCTACTCAGGAGGCTGAGGCAGAAGAATCGCTTGAACCTGGGAGGCAGAGGTTGCAGTGAGCCAAGATCGCACCACTGCACTCCAGCCTGGGCCACAGCTAGACTCTGTCTCAAAAAAAAAAAAAAAAAAAGACTCAAGCCATCTGCTTAGTCCTCCCAAAGTGTTGGGATTACAGACATGAGCCACGGCGCCCAGCCCCTGTGTGTGATGTCTGATCTTGACATTGAAGGGAGTAAAAAGTCATGTAAAAAATGGCCCTTGCCTATAAGGAACAAAAGTATATCCTCAATAAAATACTGCCTGCCCTGTGGGAGACTGCAGTCTACATGAAAAAAAAAAAGGGCCAGGTGTGGTGGCTCACGTGTGTAATCCCAGCACTTTGGGAGGCTGGGGCAGGTGGATTGCCTGAGCTCAGGAGTTCCAGACCAGCCTGGGCAACACAGTGAAACCCCATCTATAAGAAAATACAAAAAATTAGCTGGGCGTGGTGGCATGCACCTGTAGTCCTAGCTACTCAGGAGGCTGAGGCAGGAGAATGGCTTGAACCCAGGAGGTGGAAGTTGCAGTGAGCTGATATCATACCACTGCACTCCAGCCTGGGCGACAGAGTGAGACTCTGTCTCAAAAAAAAAAAAAAAAAAACAAAAAAACAAAAAAACAAAAAAACCAGATATGCACATGGAAAAAAAAGACATACAGAAATTGTACATCAGTGCCCATGATAAGTTTCCAAGAAGGTCCAGCCCATAAATTCTCAGGGTTTCTTCCCCAGACCAGGGGTATCAGGGTCTCTTATTATTTGTTGTAAATGCAAATTACCCAGCCCTTCTGAATGAGAAACTGGGGCGGCGGGTGGGGGGGCACCCAGCAATGTGTGTTTTAACAAGCTGGCTAGGGAACTGTGAGGTTCATTCAGGTTTGAGAATTCAGGTTTATGTAGATGTTTTAGTTCCCTGTTCCTTGCAGGAGTGATGTGGAAGGAACCAGCAAGGAAGCTGCAAACCGATTCTGGCCTAGCAGCTCCTTTTTTTTTTTTTTTTTTTTATGGAGTCTTGCTCAGCTGCCCAGGCTGGAGTGCAGTGGCTCAATCTCGGCTCACTGCAACCACTGTCTCCCAGGTTCAAGTGATTCTCCTGTCTCAGCCTCCCAAGTAGCTGGAATTATAGGCAACCGCCATCATGTCTGGCTAATTTTTATATTTTAGTAGAGACGGGGTTTCACCATGTTGGCCAGGCTGGTCTTGAATTCCTGACCTCAGGTGAACCATCCTCCTCGGCCTCCCAAAGTACTAGGATTACAGGCTCGAGCCACTGCACCTGACTGGCAGCTCCTTTATAAGATTTTAATTTCCCAAACTACCTAGTAAATTTCGTTATAGATAACACTCTCTTCAACTATAGTGGTTTTTGTTGTTGTTTTGTTTTTTTTCAGAATCCCACTCCATTGCCAGGCTGGAGTGCAGTGGCGTGATCTCAGCTCACTGCAACCTCCACCTCCCAGGTTCAAGCGATTCTCCTGCCTCAGCCTCCTGAGTAGCTGGGACTACAGGTGCGCACCACCATGCCCAGCTAATTTTTGTATTTTTAGTAGAGACGGGGTTTCACCATATAGGCCAGGATGGTCTCGATCTCCTGACCTCGTGATCCACCTTCCTCTGCCTCCCAAAGTGCTGTGATTACAGGCGTGAGCTACCACGCCCAGCCTATAGTGTTTTTCTTCAGTCACTGGTGTTAAAGGGTATTTATGTGTGATTGTCTAATTACCTCCCTTCATTAGACTACAAACCCCAAGAGGGTTCGACTTTGGGTTCTACTTCATTCCCAACTCCTGATAGTTTGCTGACGTTAAATGTTAATATGTTTCTTGCTGTCCCAAAATTTCATATTTTCCCCTAATTTGTTGTAGATATATTAAGGACCTGTTATGTATCTGATCTCTCTTTAAAAAACAAAAAAAAGAGAGAGAAATGGGGTTTCACCATGTTGCCCAGGCTGGTCTCAAAGTCCTGGGCTCAAGCCATCCGCTTAGTCTTCCCAAAGTGTTGGGATTACAAGCCTGAGCCACGGCGCCCAACCCCTGTGTCTGATGCCTGATCTTGATATTGAAGGGAGTAAAAAGTCATGTAAAAAATGACCCTTGCCTATAAGGAACAAAATTATATCCTCAAGAGAAATTAAATAACAGCATAAGGTGGCCTATGATTATGTACAAATAAACATTTTAGATTAGATTAAGAAATATCATAGAATTCATAGCCGGGCATGGTGGCGGGTGCCTGTAATCCCAGCTACTGGACTGGGAGGCTGAGGCAGGAGAATGGCGTGAACCCGGGAGGCGGAGCTTGCAGTGAGCCAAGATCGCACCACTGTATTCCAGCCTGGGCAACAGAGCGAGACTGGGAAAAAACAAAAGAAAGAAAGAAATCCCATACAATTCAGAAAAGAGGCAGTGAGAGATCCAGCAGGTTGAGAAAGCTTCCTACAAAGGGCAGGACTTGAGTAGGACTTTCAAATTTAACAGTGACGTTTAAGTCTCCAGAACAATGGAGAAAGTGAGAGGAAGGCGAAACAAAGGGCACTAGTGGCGTGGAGCAAGATCTGTGCATATTCCAGGAGCCTCAGCCTGGAGACAAAGGTGCCCTTGAAATGGGAAAGGGCTGGAGTGGAGTATGAGGTGTCTACTGGAGCCCTGAATGCCAGATTCACTTGGAACTGTTTCCCTTTAGTAGTCTGTGCCTTGGTTTCTGTTGTCTCGGGGACAGGGCAGATGAAAGGAAGACTGAGGGCCTTGTGCACAAGTTATTGGAGGTAGAGAGGAAAAGAAGAAAAGAACCTCCAGAGCTGGGGGCAGTAGCTCACACCTGTAATGCCAGGACTTAGGGAGGCAGAAGTGAGACGATGACTTGAGCCCAGGAGTCCAAGACCTGTCTGGGCAACAAACATAGCGAGACCCCATTCTCCACAAAAAGTTTAAAAAAAAAAAGGAAGGATCAAAACAAACAAACAAGAAAAGAACCCCCACCCCAAAAGGATCTCTGGTAGTAGGCTCAGTCATTCAGCCTCATTTATAGGGTGATACTCTGGTGTCCTGAGGTGGAGTGGAGGGCTCTTTCCTGAAGAAGCTCACAGCAGACGGATAGGAGGCCATTGCACTCCAGCCTGGGCAACAAGACTGAAACTCCGTCTCAAAAAATAAAAATAAAATAAAAACAAGAGTGAGCTTGGGCAGCTCAGAGAATGCTGTTCCTGTTGAGAGAAACAGGGAAGTTAGGATGGGAAACCGGTTTTTGGAGGGGAAACTGGGCTTGAAAGATGACTATTTCATTTTTGGACACACGTTACGTTTTCTCTCTGGAGCTGGTATGTTTGGTTTCTATAGTTGTTCCTTCTTCCCTTAAAACTTAGTTTCGGTGCTTAGAGGGGAAAAACAAAACAAAACCCCAGCCCAGCTGGGCACGGTGGCTCACGCCTGTAATCCCAGCACTTTGGGAGGCTGAGGCGGATCACCTGAGGTCGGGAGCTTGAGACCAGCCTTACCAACATGGTGTAACCCCTTCTCTACTAAAAATAAAAAATTAGCCGGGCGTGGTGGTGCATGGCTGCAATCTCAGCTACTTGGGAGGCTAAGGCAGAAGAATCGCTTGAACCCGGGAGGCAGAGGTTGCAGTGAGCCAAGATCTCGCTATTGCACTCCAGCCTGGGCAACAAGAGCGAAACTCCATCTCAAAAAAACAACCAACCAACCAACAACTACAAAAACACCTCAGCCCAGTTGTGGGTCTTTCCCAAGATCTAGGTGCATCTATTTGTACGACTGGAAATTACCCCAGAGCCTGAGGGATCAATAAACAGCTGAGTTTTTCCAGATTTTTTTTTTAACTTTTTTTTTTTTTTTTTTTTTTTGAGATGGAGTCTCGCTCTGTCGCCCAGGCTGGAGTGCAGTGGCGCGATCTCTGCTCACTGCAAGCTCCGCCTCCCGGGCTCACGCCATTCTCCTGCCTCAGCCTCCGGAGTAGCTGGGACTACAGGCGACCGCCACCACGCCCGGAGAATTTTTTGTATTTTTAGTGGAGACGGGGTTTCACCGTGTTAGCCAGGATGGTCTCGATCTCCTGACCTCGTGATCCACCCGCTTCGGCCTCCCAAAGTGCTGGGATTACAGGCGTGAGCCGCCGCGCCCGGCCTTGCTCCAGATTTTAAAGGGACAAGCATCAGTGGTGAAGAGATGCTCCCCGGGGCTGTCCCACCCAGCCTTCCATTCTTGCAATCACTGGCTGCAGGTGAGGGGAGACAGGAACCTCACTTGCTTGGCTGCACTTTTGTTTTTCCACAGAGTTCTTACTCCAAGAATCAGGGCTTCCTGATTGACCCGTCTGACTAGAATCACGGCTCTCTCATCCCGAACCATCCCGGCTCAGCTTCTGAAAGAAAAAACTTTCTAAACAGATGCTGCTCTCTGGGGACAGGCACTAAGGTTTCTGCAGCCTCTTAGTCTTTCAGTCACTTTAAGTCCTACTCCAGCTGGTGGCTGTGGCTACCTGTCAGAGAGAACATAGGTCTGTCTGACTTTCCTGATCTCCGGAGTGGAGACAGCCCTGCAGTGCAGGGTCAAGACAGGGCAGAACAGCCTGGCCTGACTCCTCTCCATGGGACTCCTCTCCATGAGTAGAGCAGGTTGGAATGGGGCCAGCTGACCTCTTCAGCTCTCAGCAAACTTTTTAAAGCCACCAGCCACGTGGCCTCCTTGACTCTGCAGTCTCCCTGACTGATGTAGAGTCTCCCTGACTGACCCTTTTTAAGCACAATAAATTTAACTTGGATTTCTTGGGGTCAAGCTAACCTCACCTAAAGAACTTGCTTAGCAGAGTTGAAGCATTGCTGAAAAATAACATTCATCTAGGAATAAAAATGACTTTGTTATGTAGGGATTTGACAGAACAAAGGGCAGCTGCTCTGAAATCAAGTAGGAACCCTGGGTTGAATTTGGTGGCTCACATTTGTAATCCTAGCACTTTGGGAGGCCAAGACAGGAGGATCGCTTAAGTCCAGGAATTCAAGACCAGCCTGGGCAATGTAGCAAAGCCCCATCTTTATATAAAATAATAATAATAATGAAAGTAGGAACACTGGTGTCCCTCTTGGCTCTTCCCTCCCCATATTCTCCCTAGCACCAACAGCCAATCAGTCACCTGATTCTTCTTATTTATTTTATTTTATTTATTTATTTTTTATTTTTTTATTTTTTTTTGAGACAGAGTCTCGCTTTGTCGCCCAGGCTGGAGTGCAGTGGTGGGATCTTGGCTCACTGCGAGCTCCACCTCCCGGGTGCACGCCATTCTCCTGCCTCAGCCTCCTGAGTAGCTGGGACTACAGGCACCTACCACCACGCCCGGCTAATTTTTTGTATTTTTATTAGAGATGGGGTTTCACCGTGTTAGCCAGGATGGTCTCAACCTTCTGACCTTGTGATCCGCCTGCCTCGGCCTCCCAAAGTGCTGGGATTACAGGCGTGAGCCACCACGCCCGGCGATTTTTCTTTTTATAAAGCACCTTTCAAACCCATCCACTTCTGTTTCTTTAACCTAGACCTTCATTAGCCTAGACTTTCAACTATTACTTGTCCCACTGCAACACCCTCCAAACTGGTCTTTCTGCCTCTTGCCTGGCTACAATCCATCCTCCCCAGGGAAAAGATTGGTCTTCCCACCATGCAATCCTAGCTAAGCACTTCGGTGGATCATCTGTGAGGACAGCCACCAACAAATTATTCTTTCTGTGAACAGGAACGGATGGAATCCATTTCCTCTCCCCCGCCTTTTTTTTTTAGAGTGGGGAGCTCTGGTGCAGGATCCCCTCCTCTTGAGTCTGGGTCTGTAAATTGCTTTTACCAACAGAGTGTGGTGAGGGTAATATTCTGGGACTTCTAAACCCAGGTGTTAAGAGCCCAGCTTCGCCAGGCATGGTGGCTCATGCTTGTAATCCCAGCACTTTGGGAGGCCCAGGTGGGTGGATCACTTGAGGTCAGGAGTTCAAAACCAGCCTGGCCAACATGGTAAAACCCCCCGTCTCTACTAAAAATACAAAAAAATTAGCTGTGCGTGGTGGTGGGCACCTGTAATCCCAGCTACTCAGGAGGCTGAGGCAGGAGAATCGCTTGAACCTGGAAGGCAGAGGTTGCAGTGAGCCGAGATGGCACCACTGCACTCCAGCCTGGGCAACAGAGCGAGACTCTATCTCAAAAAAAAAAAAAAAAAAAAAAAGAAGCCCAACTTCCTTTTCCTTCTCTTGTCCATCAGCTGCCATGTAAAGTCGTCTGATAGCCAGGTGTAGTGGTGCATACCTGTATGCTACTTGGAAGGCTAAAGCAGAAGGATTGCTTGAGCCTAGGAGTTTGAGGCTACAGTGAGCCAAGATCATGCCATTGCACTCTAGCCTGGGCAACAGAGCAAGACCCTGTCTCAAAAAAAAAAAAAAAAAGAGGCTCTGAGCCAGATTACTGGATGGTAAGAGATCAGGTGAAGATGCAGGGGACCAGCCAGCCTTCACACATTGCAGCCACCTAAGGCATCAGAGAAGTGAATGAAGTCATAGTGAACATTCTGCCAGTGACTTCAGATTCTCCAAGGCCTGTCAAGCCACTCCAGCGAGCACCATCTGGAGGAAGGAAGACCCATCTCTGTCAAGTGTTTAAACCACTAGATTTTGGCATCATTTTGACATGGTTTGTTACACAGCTATAGATAGCTGAAACATGCCCTAGTTTTTTTTTTTTTTTTTTTTAATTTAATTTTTTTTTTTGAGACAGAGTCTCAACTTCCCAGGCTGGAGTACAGTGGCGCAATCTCAGCTCACTGCAACTTCCGCCTCCCAGGTTCAAGCAATTCTCCTGTCTCAGCTTCTCGAGTAGCCAAAACTACAGGCATGAGCTACCATGCCCAGCTAATTTTTTGTTTTTGTTTTTGTTTTGAGAAGGAGTCTTGCTCTGTCACCCAGGCTGGAGTGCAGTTGCGCCATCTCAGCTCACCGCAAGCTCCACCTCCTGGGTTACGCCATTCTCCTGCCTCAGCCTCTGGAGCAGCTGGGACTACAGGTGCCTGCCACCTCGCCCGGCTAATTTTTTGTATTTTTAGTAGAGACGGGGTTTCACCATGTTAGCCAGGATGTACTCGATCTCCTGACCTCATGATCCGCCCACCTTGGCCTCCCAAAGTGCTGGAATTACAGGCGTGAGCCACCGCGCCCGGCCTGTATTTTTAATAGAGACAGGGTATCTCCATGTTGGTCAGGCTGGTCTCGAACTCCTGACCTCAGATGATCACCCACCTCGGCCTCTGAAAGTGCTGAGATTACAGGCATGAGCCACCGCACCCAGCCTAACATGCCCTAGTCTTGTTTTTGTTTTTGTTTTTTGAGACGGAGTTTTGCTCTTGTCGCCCAGGGTGGAGTGCAATGGCGAGATCTCGGCTCACTGCAAACTCTGCCTCCTGGGTTCAAGTGATTCTCCAGCTTCAGTCTCCTGAGTAACTGGGATTACAGGAATGTGCCACCACGCCCAGCTAATTTTGTATTTTTAGTAGAGATTGGGTTTCACCATGTTGGTTAGGCCAGTTTCAGACTCCTGACCTCAAGTGATCCACCCACCTCAGCATCCCAAAGTGCTGGGATTACAGGCGTGAGAGCCACTGCGCCTGGCCAGCATGTGCTATTTAATATTTGATAAATGAATGACTAGCCAACTGAATGAAGGTTAGAACTATGGAATAGGCCAGGTGTGGTGGCTCACACCTGTGATCCAGCCCCCACCACCTGTGGTTCACCTGTCTTCAGCAGGCTTCCTTCCTCTGCAAGATTGTCGCCTACAGCAACCAGGGCTTACTCTGAAAGGGGAGAAAGCACTGCTCTCCATAATCATCCAACAGTTTGTACTTTCTTTCTTTCTTTTTTTTTCAAGGCGGAGTTTCACTGTTGTTGCCCAGGCTGGAGTACAACGGCGCGATCTCGGCTCACCGCAACCTCCGCTTCCCCGGTTCAAGCAATTTTCCTGCTTTAGCCTCCTGAGTAGCGGGATTACAGGCATGCACCACCGCACCCGGCTAATTTTGTATTTTTAGTAGAGTCAGGTTTCTCCATGTTGGTCAGGCTGGTTTCGAATTCCCGACCTCAGGTGATCCGCCCCCTCGGCCCCGCAAAGTGCTGGGATTACAGGCTTGAGCCACCGCACCAGGCCAGTTTGTACTTTGACAGTGATTGGCTCATCCCTGAACTACTCTAAGCAAATACTACGAGTTAACTGGTTTGGGTCTAGATTATTATCCATACATCACCCAATTACTGCGGCAGAGGAGTAGGTAACTTTAAACTGATTTATATATGCCAATTAAGGTCTATGCCTCAGAGCTGGGATAGGTTTATTCCTACTCAAGACTTAATGAGGGGCCTGGCACAGTGGCTCATGCCGGTAATCCCAGCACTTTGGGAGGCCCAAGGTGGGTGGATCATTTGAGGTCAGGCGTTCGAGACCGGCCTGGCCAACATAGGGAAACCCTGTCTCTACTAAAAATACAAAAATTAGCCAGGCGTGCTGGCAGGTGCCTATAATCCCTGCTACTTGGGAGGCTGAGGCTGGGAGAATTGCTTGAACCCGGGAGGTGGAGGTTGCCGTGAGCCGGAGATCCTGCCATTGCACTCCAGCCTGAGCGACAGAGTGAGACTGTCTCAAAAAAAACCCAAAAACCTATGGAATATTCGTTTTGGACTTGATCATTTTTTAAAATTTTTACTTATTTTTATCTTTATTTTTTCATGCTTGGACTGTTAGAGAAAGACTCATAATTTTTATTCTTCCCTTATATCATCCCTGATCTTGCCCAGCAGATGTTATCTTCTAAAAGCTTTGTTTCATATGCTCTGATTCTTAAATTTCTCCTATCTCAGCTGTCTCCAAAGGGACAATAATTGGTGTTCATGATGATATGACTTGGGATAAAATGAAACCTTGAAGTGATACATTGTCTGAGGTTATAGTTTTAACTTTGGAAATTCAGAAACCCAATTTATGAAAATCTATATCTGTAACTCTGAATTAACCCATATGTTAAAAACTCCCAAAGAACCCAAATATTTGTCAATGTGGGGAAGAAAAAAATCCCCTGATTTTGTAAGTGTTTTTACTTTCTGAAAGGGGATTCCATATCTCTTATTCATTCGCGTCTCATCACAGTTCTGAGAGATGAGTAGAAGAGGTGGTGGCACTGTATTTCTGTTTTACAGGTTTGAAAGCAAAGGTTAGCCAGGCATGGTGGCTCACACCTGTAATCCCAGCACTTTGGGAGGCGGAGGCGGGAGGATCACAAGGTCAGGAGATCCAGACCATCCTGGCTAACACAGTGAAACCCTGTCTCTACTAAAAATACAAAAATTAGCCGGGTGTGGTGGCGGGTGCCTGTAGTCCCAGCTACTCGGGAGGCTGAGGTAGGAGAATGGTGTGAACCTGGGAGGCAGAGCTTGCAGTGAGCTGAGATCTCGCCACTACACTCCAGCCTGGGTGACAGAGGGAGACTTCGTCTCAAAAAAAAAAAAGAAAGCAAAGGTTGTATGAGTGTCCAGGGTCATATAGCTGGTTAGTACTACAAGTCAAGTAGGATCCATTCCACTGATGACTGACTGACTAGTCTGCTACTTTTGCCCCATACAGTGGTGATAATAGTAAGAAGTTTCAATTTATTGAGTAACTGAAATTTGTACTTAAGATTTGTACGTTTCTTAAGTAATTTTTTTTTTTTTTTGAGACAGAGTCTCCCTCTGTCACCTAGGCTGGAGTGCAGTGGCAAGATCTTGGGTCACAACAACCTCCGCCTCCTGACTCAAGTGTCTCTCCTGTCTCAGCCTCCCAAGTAGCTGGGATTACAGGCGCAGGCCACCATGTCCAGCTAATTTTTGTATTTTTAGTACAGACAAAGTTTCACCATGTTGACCAGGCTGGTCTTGAACTCCTGAGCTCAGGTGATCCAACCGCCTCGCCTCGGCCTCCCAAAGTGCTGGGATTACAGACGTGAGTCACCACGCCAGTCCCTTAATTTTAAAATTATTTTATTTATTTTTTGAGACAGAGTCTCACTCTGTCACCCAGGCTGGAGTGCAGTGGCATGATCTCAGCTCACTGCAACCTCTGCCTCCCGGGTTCAAAGGATTTTCCTGCCTCAGCCTACTGAGTAGCTGGTACTACAGGCACCTGCCACCATGCCCGACTTTTATTTTTATTTTTATTTTTATTTTTATTTTAGTAGAGACGGGGTTTCACTATGTTGGCCAGGCTGGTCTCAAACTCCTGACCTCAGGTGATCCACCCTCCTTGGTCTCCCAAAGTGCTAAGATCACAGGCGTGAGCCACCGTGCCTGGCCTTTTTAATTTTTTTTGTTTTGAGACGGGGACTCACTCTTTCGCCTAGGATGGAGTACAGTGGTGCAATCAAGGATCACTGCAACCTCAACCTCCCTGGGCTTAGTAAACCTCTAACCTCAGCCTCCTGAGTATCTGGGACTGCAGGCATGTGCCATTATGCCAGGATAATTTTTTTCTTTTTTTTCTTTTTTTTTTTTTTGAGATGGAGTCTCGCACTGTCACCAGGCTGGAGTGCAGTGGTGCCATCTTGGCTCACTGCAACCTCCACCTCCCGGGTTCAAGCAACTCTCCTGCCTCAACCTCCTGAGTAGCTGGGATTACAGGTGCCTGCCACCATGCCCGGCTAATTTTTTTGGATTTTTAGTACAGATGGGGTGACTATGTTGGCCAAACTGGTCTCAAACTGCCTGCCTTGGCCTCCCAAAGTGTTGGGATTACAGGCGTGAGCCACCGAGCCCAGCAGATAATTTTTATATTTTTAGTAGAGATGGTGTTTTTCCACATTGTCTAGTCTGGTCAGAAACTCTTAAGTTTAAGTGCTCCTCCTGCCTCAGCATCCAAAGTGCCGGCATTAGAGGCCACCGTGTCCAGCCTGTATTTTTCTTTATAGTTTTTAATTATTAAGATTTCCAGGCCGGGTGCAATGGCTCACACCTGGAAACCCAGCACTTTGAGAGGCCGAGGCAGGAGGATCACCTGAGTTCTAGAGTTCGAGACCAGCCTGACCAACATGGAGAAACCCCGTCTCTACTAAAAATACAAAATTAGCCGGGCATGGTGGCGCATGCCTGTAATCCCAGCTACTCAGAGCAGGCTGAAGCAGGAGAATCTCTTGAACCCGGGAGGTGGAGGCTGCAGTGAGCCGAGATCGCACCATTGCACTCCAGCCTGGGCAACAAGAGCGAAACTCCGTCTCAAAAAGAAAAAAAAGATTTCTTCCTCATTTTTTAAATTTAGCTTTTAATTACAGAAATATTTCTCTTTTTTTTCCACTCTGTCGCCCAGGCTGGAGTGCAGTGGCATGATCTCAGCTCACTGCAACCTCCACTTCCCAGGCTCAAGTGATCCTCCCATCTCAGCCTTCCTAGTAGCTGGGACTACAAGCTCCAACACATGCCCAGTTTATTTTGTTTATTTTTGAGGAGATAGGGTTTTGCAATGTTGCTCAGGCTGGTCTCAAACACCTGGGCTCAAGGGATCTGCCTGCCTAGGCCTGCCAACATGCTGGGATTAGAGGTGTGAGACACAATGCCCAGGTAATTATGGAAAATTTTTAACATATCAATAATAAGCATATATGAGTATGGGGAGCCCTCGTATGCCATCTCTCAAGTTCAACAATTATCAATATTTTGCCATTCTCGTTTCATCTATCCTCTCACTTTTTGTTTTCTGGAGTATTTTAAAATAAATTGGGGACATCACTTTATTCTTCCTGTAAATACTTCATTATGTATGTCTAATAGATAAGGAACTTTTGTTCTCTCTGTCTAAAACACAAACATGGCTGGGCGTGGTGGCTCACCACTTTAATCCCAGCACTTTGGGAGGCTAAGGCTGGTGGATCACCTGAGGTCAGGAGTTCGAGACCAGCCTGGCCAACAGGTTGAAATCATGTCTCCACTAAAAATACAAAAAATTAGCCGGCGTGGTGGCGGGTGCCTGTAATCCCAGCTACTTGAGAGGCCGAGACAGGAGAATCACTTGAACCCAGGAGGCATGGGTTACAGTGAGCCAAGATAGCACCATTGCACTCCAGGCTGGGCGACAAGAGCAAAACTCCACCTCAAAAAGAAAATAAAAAATAAAACACAAACATAATACCTTTTCACCCTACAAAAATCAGCAAAATGCTTTCACGTCATTAATATGCTGTCCATATTCAGTTTTTCCATGATTGTCATTTCATAGTTAGTTCATTCAAATCAGAATCTATACATGGTTCGTAGATCGTTTTTGGTTGATGTGTCTTTTTTAATCTGCCTCCCATCTGCCCTCACCACCCCACCATTTATTTGTGGAAGGAACCAGTTTGCTTGTCCTGTAGAATTCCCCTGGACTTCCCCCAGCTGCATCCTCGTGGACCTAAAATATTATGTTTCTATATCACTAATTACATGTAGTTCATTCATACAAATTAAATATACTGGAACACTTTATGAACGCTATTACAAATATCAAACACTTCCACACTCAGCAAATATTTATTGAGCATCTATTCTGTACAAACTTCCCTTTCTGATCTCTGGGTTAATGTATAACGTCTCTTGCACTAGAAGCTTTGGTCGGATCTTTGCTTTCTCATTTCTTCTATGTCTATATCATAGATCCGGCCATAGATCCTACCTAAAAAACTCAGACTCACCACTTACTCTTAGGTAGTTTCTAGCTACTCAGACAGTTTCTACCATCAGTACTCTAAGACCTCAACTCAGTGTGAATCCCCACAGTGGACTTCAGGCTGGATTGTCAGCTTCATGTAAACTTGATGGTACTTTATCTGTTTACCAAATGGTGAGACAAGGATATCCCAGGTACCTAGCACATTCTCTTATACACAGCAGATACTCAGTAAATATTTGTTAAATAAGTATATACAGGGCCGGGCACGGTGGCTCACACCTGTAATCACAGCACTTTGGGAGGCCAAGGTGGGTGGATCATGAGGTCAGGAGATCAAGACCATCCTGGCTAACACCGTGAAACCCCGTCTCTACTAAAAATAAAAAAAATTAGCCGGGTGTGGTGGCGGGCACCTGTAGTCCCAGCTACTTGGGAGGCTGAAGCAGGAGGATGGCGTGAACCTGGGAGGCGGAGCTTGCAGTGAGCCGAGATTGCGCCACTGCACTCCAGCCTGGGAGACAGAGCGAGACTCCATCTCAAAAAAATAAAAGATAAAAAATAAAAAATAAATAAATAAATAAGTAAATAAGTACATACAGACCTTCTTTTTTTTTTGAGATGGAGTTTCACTCTTGTTGCCAAGGCTGGAGTGCAATGGCACGATCTCACTCACTGCAACTTCTGCCTCCTGGGTTCTAGTGATTCTCCTGCCTCAGCCTCCTGAGTAGCTGGGATTACAGGCATGCGCCACCACGCCCAGCTAATTTTTGTATTTTTAGTAGAGATGGGGTTTTGCCATGTTGGCCAGGCTGGTCTTGAACTCCTGACCTCTGGTGATCCGCCCACCTAGGCCTCCCAAAGTGCTAGGATTACAGGCATGAGCCACCGTGCCTGGCCTGATACAGAGCTTTTTACCTTCAATTGTTATTTCTTATTCAAACTGAACGCTTAGACTAGATTCATCTTCCTTAAGTGTCATCATTTATCTCTTTTTGCTGAGTATATTCTAAGTTCAGTGTGAGCTGAAAATAGCTCAGATCATTTATAAGAACCAATTGTTAAATTTTCAGAAATGTTGTGAGCTGGTTGACATCACATTGGTAATTTGAAATTGGCTGCAATGGGAGTATTTATACCACACAAACTGGCAAATGCAACAAATCACGGCTTTCTTTTACTTCTTCAGAAAGCATATTGTTAAACAGTCTCAGCCTGCGTTGGATACTGCACTGTAAAAGAATCTATGACTGTCTTCTGTAAATACAGAAAGTATTCAGTTTGGTCTTGGAGCTCCTCTGTTATTTGGACTGTTGTATTGAAAATTTTCTTCTATACCATCTTGAATAATTAGATTGTCCTCACTATCCCGTATTCCAACAACTTGTCATATTCTATTTATGCTAGGCTTCCTTTTTTTTTTTTTGAGACGGAGTCTTGCTCTGTCACCACCAGGCTGGAGTGCAGTGGCGCCATCTTGGCTCACTGCAACCTCCGCCTCCCGGGTTCAAGTGATTCTCTTGCGTCAGCCTCCCAAATAGCTCGGACTACAGGTGCGTGCCACTGTGTCCAGCTAATTTATTGTATTTTTAGTAGAGATGGGGTTTCACCATATTAGCCAGGATGGTTTTGAACTCCTGACTTCAAGTGATCTGCCAGCCTTGGCCTCCCAAACTGCTTGGATTACAGGAGTGAGCCACCACATTCAGCCAAGAGCAGGTATTCAGCCTGGCACAGTGGCTCACGCCTGTAATCCCAGCACTTTGGGAGGCCGAGGTGGGTGGATCACCTGAGGTCAGGAGTTGAAGACCAGCCTGGCCCACATGGTGAAACCCCACCTCTACTAAAAATACAGAAATTAGCTGGGTGTGGTGGCGCATGCCTGTAATCCCAGCTACTCGGGAGGCTGAGGCAGGAGAATTGCTTGAACCGGGACCCGGGAGGCGGAGTTTGCAGTGAGCCGAGATTGCACCATCTCAAAAAAAAAAAAAAAAAAAAAAGAGCAGGTATTCAATTTTTTGTCATATGCTCGGCATATGACAATAACTAATTAACATTATTTGAGGACATACTAGTACCTGGCTTTTTATTTTAATTAATCCTGACCATAAACTTATGAAGCAGGTACTACTGTTTCCATTTTACAAATGAGTTAAAGGAAGCACAGATGTTTCCTCTGCATAAACTTCTTTAATCTCTATCTCAATAAATATCACCATCATCTACCCAATTGCTCAAGACATTCACCAGGGAGTCATCCTTCATTCCTCCTTTTTCTCGGACCCCCAACAGCCTATCCAACATCAGATCCTCTTGTCTGTACCGACAAGATATACCCTGGATCCCAATTTGTCCACTTCTCTTCATGTCTATTGCTGTCATCCTTTTTTTTTTTTTTTTTTTTTTTTTTTTTTTTTGAGACAGAGT